>NC_000006.12:14150909-14302424 GCF_000001405.40 Homo sapiens | reverse complement strand
GCTCACACAAAGCCTGTTTGGTGGTCTCTTCACATGGACGCGCATGATATTTGGTGCTGTGACTTGGATTGGGGGACCTCCCTTGGGAGATCAATCCCCTGTCCTCCTGTTCTTTGCTCCGTGAGAAAGATCCACCTACGACCTCAGGTCCTCAGACCGACCAGCCCAAGGAACATCTCACCAATTTTAAATCAGGTAAGCAGCCTCTTCTTACTCTCTTCTCCAACCTCTCTCACTGTCCCTCAACCACTTTCTCCTTTCCACTCTTCAATCTCTCCCTTCTCTTAATTTCAATTCCTTTCATTTTGTGGGAGAGACAAAGGAGACACGTTTTATCCGTGGACCCAAAACTCCGGCGCTAGTCACGGACAGGGAAGGCAGCCTTCCCTTGGTGTTTAGTCATTGCAGGGACGCCTGATTATTCACACGTTTCAAAGGTGTCAGACCATGCAGGGACGCCTGCCTTGGTCCTTCACCCTTAGCGGCAAGTCCTGCTTTTCTGGGAAAGGGGCAAGTACCCCAACCTCTTCTCTCCTTGTCTCTACCCCTTCTCTGCCTTTCTGGGGGAGGGGCAAGTACCCCTCAACCCCTTCTCCTTCACCCTTAGCGGCAAGTCCCGCTTTTCTATGGGGCAAGAACCCCCAATCCCTTATTTCCACGCCCCAACCTCTTATCTCTGTGCCCCAATCCCTTATTTCCGTGCCCCAACCTCTTATCTCTGCGCCCCAATCCCTTATTTCCACACCCCGACCTCTTATCTCTGTGCCCCAATCCCTTATTCCCGTGCCCCAACCTTGTATCTCTGTGCCCCAGTCCCTTATTTCCACACCCCAACCTCTTATATCTCTGCACCCCAATCCCTTATTTCCATGCCCCAACCTCTTATCTCTACGCCCCAACCCCTTTTCCCACTTTTCTGGAAGGTAAGAACCCCCGAACCCCTTCCCTCCATTTCTCTACTCTCTCTTTTCCCTAGGCTTGCTTCCTTCACTATGGGCAACCTTCCACCCTCCATTCCTCCTTCTACTCCCTTGGCCTGTGTTCTCAAAAACTTAAAACCTCTTCAACTCACACCTGACCTAAAACCTAAATGCCTTATTTTCTTCTACAATGCCGCTTGACCCCAATACAAACTCGACAGTAGTTCCAAATAGCCAGAAAATGGCACTTTGAATTTTTCCATCCTGCAAAATCTAAATAATTCTTGTCATAAAATAGGCAAACGGTCTGAGGTGCCTGACATCCAGGCATTCTTTTACACATCAGTCCCTTCCTAGTCTCTGTGCCCAGTGCAACTCGTCCCAAATCTTCCTTCTTTCCCTCCCGCCTGTCCCCTCAGTACCAACCCCAAGCGTCGCTGAGTCTTTCTAATCTTCCTTTTCTACAGACCCATCTGACCTCTCCCCTCCTCCCCAGGCTGCTCCTCGCCAGGCCGAGCTAGGTCCCAATTCTTCCTCAGCCTCTGCTCCTCCACCCTATAATCCTTTTATCACCTCCCCTCCTCACACACAGTCTGGCTTGCAGTTTCGTTCCGTGACTAGCCCTCCCCCACCTGCCCAGCAATTTACTCTTAAAAAGGTGGCTGGAGCTAAAGGCATAGTCAAGGTTAATGCTCCTTTTTCTTTATCCCAGATCAGATAGCGTTTAGGCTCTTTTTCATCAAATATAAAAATCCAGCCCAGTTCATGGCTCGTTTGGCAGCAACCCTGAGACGCTTTACAGCCCTAGACCCTAAAAGGTCAAAAGGCCGTGTTATTCTCAATATTCATTTTATTACCCAATCTGCTCCCGACATTAAATAAAACTCCAAAAATTGGAATCTGGCCCTGAAACCCCACAACAGGACTTAATTAACCTCACCTTCAAGGTGTACAATAACAGAAAAAAGTTGCAATTCCTTGCCTCCACTGTGAGACAAACCCCAGCCACATCTCCAGCACACAAGAACTCCAAACGCCTCAACCGCAGCAGCCAGACGTTCCTCCAGAACCTCCTCCCCGAGGAGCTTGCTACATATCCCGGAAATCTGGCCACCGGGCCAAAGAATGCCCGCAGCCCGGGATTCCTCCTAAGCCGCGTCCCATCTGTGTGGGAACCCACTGAAAACCGGACTGTTCAACTCACCTGGCAGCCACTTCCAGAGCCCCTGGAACTCTGGCCCAAGGCTCTCTGACTGCTTCCCAGATCTTCTCGGCTTAGCGGCTGAAGACTGACGCTGCCCAATCGCCTCGGAAGCCCCCTAGACCATCATGGACGCCGAGCTTCAGGTAACTCTCACAGTGGAAGGTAAGCCCGTCCCCTTCTTAATCAATACGGAGGCTACCCTCTCCACATTACCTTCTTTTCAAGGGCGTTTCCCTTGCCTCCATAACTGTTGTGGGTATTGACGGCCAGGCTTCTAAACCTCTTAAAACTCCCCAACTCTGGTGCCAACTTAGACAATACTCTTTTAACCACTCCTTTTTAGTTATCCCCACCTGACCAGTTCCCTTATTAGGCTGAGACACTTTAACTAAATTATCTGCTTCCCTGACTATTCCTGGATTACAGCTGTATCTCATTGCTGCCCTTCTTCCCAATCCAAAGCCTCCTTTGCGTCCTCCTCTTGTATTCCCCCACCTTAACCCACAAGTATAAGATACCTCTACTCCCTCCTTGGTGACCGATCATGCACCCCTTACCATCTCATTAAAACCTAATCACCCTTACCCTGCTCAATGCCAATATCCCATCCCACAGCATGCTTTGAAAGGATTAAAGCCTGTTATCACTCGCCTGCTACAGCATGGCCTTTTAAAGCCTATAAACTCTCCTTACAATTCCCCCATTTTACCTGTCCTAAAACCAGACAAGCTTTACAAGTTAGTTCAGGATCTGCCCTTATCAACCAAATTGTTTTGCCTATCCACCCCATGGTGCCAAACCCATATACTCTCCTATCCTCAATACCTGCCTCTACAACCCATTATTCTGTTCTGGATCTCAAACATGCCTTCTTTACTATTCCTTTGCACCCTTCATCCCAGCCTCTCTTTGCTTTCACTTGGACTGACCCTGACACCCATGAAGCTCAGCAAATTACCTAGGCTGTACTGCCGCAAGGCTTCACAGACAGCCCCCATTACTTCAATCAAGCCCGAATTTCTTCCTCATCTGTTACCTATCTCGGCATAATTCTCATAAAAACACACGTGCTCTCCCTGCCAATCGTGTCCGACTGATCTCTCAAACCAAAGCACCTTCTACAAAACAACAACTCCTTTCCTTCCTAGGCATGGTTAGTGCAGTCAGAATTCTTACACAAGAGCCAGGACCGCACCCTGCAGCCTTTCTGTCCAAACAACTTGACCTTACTGTTTTAGCCTAGCCCTCATGTCTGCGTGCAGCGGCTGCCACTGCTTTAATACTTTTAGAGGCCCTCAAAATCACAAACTATGCTCAACTCACTCTCTACAGTTCTCATAACTTCCAAAATCTATTTTCTTCCTCATACCTGACGCATATACTTTCTGTTCCCCCGCTCCTTCAGCTGTACTCACTCTTTGTTGAGTCTCCCACAATTATCGTTCCTGGCCCAGACTTCAATCCGGCCTCCCACATCATTCCTGATACCACACCTGACCCCCATGACTGTATCTCTCTGATCCACCTGATATTCACCCCATTTCCCCAAATTTCCTTCTTTCCTGTTCCTCACCCTGATCACGCTTGATTTATTGATGGCGGTTCCACCAGGCCTAATCGCCACACACCAGCAAAGACAAGTTATACTATAGTACAAGCCACTAGCCCGCCTCTTAGAACCTCTCATTTCCTTTCCATCGTGGAAATCTATCCTCAAGGAAATAACTTCTCAGTGTTCCATCTGCTATTCTACTACTCCTCAGGGATTATTCAGGCCCCCTCCCTTCCCTACACATCAAGCTCAAGGATTTGCCCCACCCAGGACTGGCAAATTAGCTTTACTCAACATGCCCCGAGTCAGGTAACTAAAATACCTCTTAGTCTAGGTAGACACTTTCACTGGATAAGTACAGGCCTTTCCTACAGGGTCTGAGAAGGCCACCACAGTCATTTCCTCCCTTCTGTCAGACATAATTCCTCAGTTTAGCCTTCCCACCTCTATACAGTCTAATAACAGACCAGCCTTTATTAGTCAAATCAGCCAAGCAGTTTTTCAGGCTCTTAGTATTCAGTGAAACCTTTATATCCCTTACGGTCCTCCGTCTTCAAGAAAAGTAGAACGGACCAAAGGTCTTTTAAAAACACACCTCACCAAGCTCAGCCACCAACTTAAAAAGGACTGGACAATACTTTTACCACTTTCCCTTCTCAGAAGTCAGGCCTGTCCTCGGAATGCTACAGGGTACAGCCCATTTAAGCTCCTATATAGATGCTCCTTTTTATTAGGCCCCAGTCTCATTCCAGACACCAGACCAACTTAGACTGTGCCCCCAAAAAACTTGTCATCCCTACTATCTTCTGTCTAGTCATACGCCTATTCACCGTTTTCAACTACTCATACATGCCCTGCTCTTGTTTACACTGCCGGTTTACACTGTTTCTCCAAGCCATCACAGCTGATATCTCCTGGTGCTATCCCCAAACTGCCACTCTTAACTCTTGAAGTAAATAAATAATCTTTGCTGGCAGGACTATGCTGAATCTCCTCAGGCACTCTCTAATCAGATATCCTGAGTCGTCCCAATTCTTAGACCTTTTATACCTGTTTTTCTCCTTCTGTTATTCCATTTAGTTTCTCAATTCATCCAAAACCGTATCTAGGCCATCACCAATCATTCTATACGACAAATGTTTCTTCTAACATCCCCACAATATCACCCCTTACCACAAGACCTCCCTTCAGCTTAATCTCTCCCACTCTAGGTTCCCACGCCACCCCTAATCCCGCTTGAAGCAGCCCTGAGAAACATCGCCCTTTCTCTCTCCATACCACCCCCAAAAAATGTTCGCCGCCCCAACACTTCAACACTATTTTGTTTTATTTTTCTTATTAATATAAGAAGGCAGGAATGTCAGGCCTCTGAGCCCAAGCCAAGACATAGCATCCCCTGTGACTTCCACGTATACGCCCAGATGGCCTGAAGTAACTGAAGAATCACAAAAGAAGTGAATATGCCTTGCCCCACCTTAATTGATGACATTCCACCACAAAAGAAGTGTAAATGGCCGGTCCTTGCCTTAAGTGATGACATTACCTTGTGAAAGTCCTTTTCCTGCCTCATCCTGGCTCAAAAAGCTCCCCCACTGAGCACCTTGTGACCCCCACTCCTGCCCACCAGAGAACAACCCCCCTTTGACTGTAATTTTCCTTTACCTACCCAAATCGTATAAAATGGCCCCACCCCTATCTCCCTTCGCTGACTCTCTTTTCGGACTCAGCCCACCTGCACCCAGGTGATTAAAAGCTTTATTGCTCACACAAAGCCTGTTTGGTGGTCTCTTCACATGGACGCACATGAAAGTTACAAGTGTACTGCTCTAGTTGGGGCTGGGTTGATAATGGAGGAGGCTATGCATCTGTCGGGGCAGGAGACACATGGAAAATCTCTATACCTTCTGCTCAATTTTGCTGTGAACCTCAAACTGCTCTAAAAAATGAAGTCTTAGCTGGGGGCAGTGCCTCACACCTGTAATCCCAGCATTTTGGGAGGCCAAGGAGGGCGGATTATAAGGTCAGGAGTTCAAGACCAGCCTGGCCAACATGGTGAAACCCCGTCTCTACTAAAAACACAAAAAGTAGCCAGGCATGGTGGCACATGCCTGTAATCCTAGCTACTTAGGAGACCGAGACAGGAGAATTGCTTGAACCCGGGAGGCGGAGGTTGCAGTGAGCTAAGATCACGCCACTGCACTACAGCCTGGGTGACAGAGCGAGACTCCATCTCAGGAAAAAAAAAAATGAAGTCTTTTTTAAAAAAAGTTAAAAGATTCAGCCCTGTAGCAGGTCCCATTCAAGGACTAAGTAATAGGCTGCAGAAGAAAGGGTGGAAGGCTGCGGAATTGATCTGGCTGAATACCCTGAAGGCACTAATGAGAGAGGAGGCTGGGTGTCCATCCTTCTTCCATTAACTGCTTTGGGAATACCAGAAGAGCCCCATAATGATTTTACTAACGTCAGAGTTCCTCCTTGGAGAGATGGAATTATTGCACATCATATCTAAAGGTGGACCACAAACCTTGAAATCAATTAGACAAGGTCCAGGAAATTATTTTCTTTTGCTTCATATAAGTTTACTTGACCTCATCTTCCCCAATGGGCAATAGTTGGTGTACGTGCCTGTACATGTGTGCGTGTGTGTGTGTGTATTTGTGCATGTGTGTGTTTTGTAGGCTGTTCCATGGATGTTTTTAATATGGGCTCTGGAGGTTTGCTGCAAAGCTAAATTGGGTGAAGAATGAAGACTCATTGGTAAATATTTCTTTATGTGCCTATTTCCTTGAGTAGACTGTGACCTACTCATTTCTGTATCCCCTGACCTAGCTAAGCTAGCACAGAGCCCGCTCTCTACTAAGGGCAGAGGGAATGCTGGTTGAATGGGGTTAGAATGATACTAAAGAATGGGGTTTACCAGATGTGCCTAGAGGAAACCAAACCCTCGATGCAACCATGTTGACAAGAGCACACATTTTAGATTCAGACACACTCAGGTTCAAATCCTGCTTCATACAAGGAAACCAGGTGGTGCTAGGTCTGTGATTGTCTCTGCGTCTCAGTGATAGGGTAGGTACCTCTGCTGAGCTACATCAGAATGCTGAGCATTGTGGTGTGACCATGAACCAGAATATAAACGTGCTTTGGGAATAAAGTTACATTTAAATGCATTATATAATTGTAAACATTTTAGAGATAAGTGTAAGAATTATGTGCAGTTTTTAAATAATGGAAGCAATTTGTTTCAAAATAATAAATGTCTTAAGGTAATTTTTAACCAAAAGTCATAGCTGTTTAAGTCCAAAAGCCTCACAATTACTTGAAAGTAATGATTAATCATTTCTTCCCTTCTCAATTGAAAATAGATACACTGGAAAACACACTGGTGAACAGACATGAGGACTGCACAGGAGAGTCTGATAACAGGAGCTGAACAGCTTTGAGGTCTGTGGCCAGCATCAGTTGCAAAAGTAGTGCTGTATTTCTTCACTCTTTTTTTCTGGCTAAATATGTATTTTTTCAACTATCTCTCTAATACCATAGGAAAGCTCTAAATGTCATTCCGTTTTTCTTAAGAGATAAAAATAATGCACATCTGAGCTCCTATCCCAGCCCCTTGCCAGGATTTTGGGGGTCAACATAATCTGTCCCCAGGGCAGGAAATGGTATTCCAGCCCTTAAGATCAGCCTAAGCTTTCAAATCCTGTGCCCACCTGGAGGCTCTAAGACCTCCCATACATCAACCAGCCATGGCCAAGACCAAGGCTAGCATATTGTGTTCTACTAGTCATCAGTGTATCTGACTTGCATTTTAGGTACCAGCTCAGCCACAGGTGGGAAGAGCATCATGTGGGCTCTTCGGGCCCCGACTCCAGGCCTTGGCTCTTGGATGGCATTTCCAGACCTGGCTGGGCCACAGGGGAGCCCACTGCTCTGAAGTGGTGAGTCCCAGGTTTGGCAACATCCACTGCAATCTGACTGAAGAGCCCTTGGGCCTTAAGCAAACATCGGTGGAAGCCTGGCAGTACTCCCTGTGGGCCTGTAGTGGTGGCCATAGGGTGAGGCTCCTGTGCCTGTGGGAAGTAGAGGGAAGAGCAGGAAGAGTGGGCCCTAGAGACAATGAGCCTCTTGCTTTCTGTTGCCATCATTGAAAGGAAGGAGAGATATCTAGGGCCATGTCAGCCATACACAAGGCTGCTAAATGTGACCTCTTCACTGGACAAACATCAAGAGAAGGGGAGGGCTCTCCTCATAGCTATAACTTGTGGATCGACCTTGGACACAGCTTGATGACTGGAGCCCAAAGCTGCTGCATGTACCAGGCTGTACCCCTTTGCTTTAGGGGTGGGCTCTCCCTCTTTTAGCCTCATACTCTAGATCCTGGAGGAGGGCAGAGGAATTATGACTCAGGTTGGCAGCTCAAAGGTATTTGGAGAAAGGCACACAGGGTTATGAATGAGCTTTTCCCACCTTTTCAGCCTCCCAGCTAAGCCCCACTTCCAGGCTCCAGGAAGTCCTGCAGACACAGAAGCAAGTCCTAGACCAGTATCAGTCATTCCTAGGCAGTCAGAGACTCCCTGGAGTGAGCAGTAGAACCCTGTCTCAAGTTCTTCCTCTTCGATGCTTTATCACTTATCATGTTTGTCTATAGTGTGAATAGAATATTCAATCATTTATTTACCCACTGATTTATCAACTATCTATTAAACTCTTTCTGTGTTACAGGTGTCAGGCCAGGCTCTGGGGGAAGAATAGTGAATGAGATATCTCTTTACCTTTAGGATCTTTCCAGGCTAGGGTGTGTGTGTGTGTGTATGTGTGTCTGTGTGTCTGTGTGTCTGTGTGCATTGGTTTTTGTTTGGTTTAGTCTGGTTTGGTTTGGTTTGGTTTGAATTCTTTGTCTCAGTGCCCAGTGAGATAGATGCCTCTTTGCCTTCATGGTCCTTCCAGGTCAGGAATTTTGTCTGTGGATTGGTTAGTTTATTTGTTTGGTTAGTTCCTTGTTGCAGTGCCCAGGATGGTAGCTGATCCTGAATGGTTGTACAGCGTGTCTGTTATTACTAATGAAAATGGCCAGGCCCACCCACGTGGAGCGCTGGACCCAGGACACTTCATGCCTTACGAGACTCATTCTCTGCCCCCTTCACTTTCCCTAGAAGGTAACATCTAACCAAAATGAACAACAAGAAAACCTTAGGAAATAAACAGAAGGAAATTATCCGAAGGGGCAGCTTGCACCTGAAGTGCAGGTGAGGCAGCATGGGGTGTGGGGACAAGCAAGGAGAAGAGGTTGCTGTAGACCAGCAGTAACGATATTCTTGGTATGTTAACTTTTCTTGGTATGGGAACTTTAAAACCCTTTCCACAGGTTTTAATTAGTACCTCCTACTTCCCTTTCTGCCATCCCCTTGCCCCAAAGTGGTTCTAACTGCCTTGTTTTAAAACATCACAGGGCACTAGAAAACCCCAAGACCAGGATTGAGCATTCCTTTCACTCAGCCACAGGAGAGGACCCAGGAGCCAAAAGAAGCCAGGAAGCCCCATCTCCTCTCTCTGCCATCGGCAGCAGCACTGCTACCCAGGCAAATCCTTTTTCTCCTGTTCCCCAAGTGAGGGCTCCTGACAGAAAGCCAGAGCTGAAGTTTAAAACAATGGCATGGAATGGAATCCTACACCTCTAATTGGACAAAACCAGAGGAAAGTATCAGAACGGGGCAAGAGGACATCCACAGAGCAAGGAGGCACAGAGGTTGGCTTCATAGCTGAGCACCCTTGAGTTGTCTCCTAACTTTTCTGTCTTGTATCACAGTTCCCTACCCTCAACCCATAGGGGAGTCATGAGGATCAAGGAAATAATCCATGCAAAAAGCATTTCCAAAGTTCCTGCCTTAATTTTTTAATCTATAAAATGGGTGGAGCAACAGCATCTACCTCATAGGGTTATTGCAAAGGTTAAATATACATAAAGCATTTAGAATAGGGGCAGAGTTAAGAGTAAGCATTTATGGCCGGATGCGGTTGCTCACGCCTGTAATCCCAACACTTTGGGAGGCCACGGTGGGTGGATCATGAGGTCAGGAGTTCGAGACCACCCTGGCCAACATGGTGAAACCCCATCTCTACAAAAGATACAAAAAAGTTAGCCTGGCGTGGTGGTGGGTGCCTGTAATTCCAGCTACTCAGGAGGCTGAGGCAGGAGAATCGCTTGAACCCAGGAGGCGGAGGTTGCAGTGAGCTGAGATCAGGCCATTGCACTCTAGCCTGGACGACAGAGAGACTCCGTCTCAAAAAAAAAAAAAAATAGCATTTATATAGGATTTGTATAAGCATTCATTATTGTAACAATCGGGTCTGGGCAGGGCATACATAGTGCAGATAAGAGTTTAACTGAAGAGTTATTTAATGTTGATACTATTTACACAGGTGGTAGCAGGTTTCAGGAATCAATGAAGCATGGTGAAAGGACCAAGAACTAGCCTGAGGCTGGAGCTGTGCAAGAGGCAAGGTGGGGATTGGAGGAATGAACACACCAACCTTTCTCTCCTCCCACCTTCTGATCTCCTCTGTATGTCTCCATTGCCAAATCAGCCAGAAGCAGAGGGCAAGTGAGCCCACATGAAGCAGTCCATGGGTTCAGTTTTGGGGGGGCATAGAGCTTGGATCTGATGGAGGAGAAAAACCAAGATAACTAGCACAGCTATTCTTAGCAGTGAAGTTGGCATTAGTATTAATATTAGTATTAACCATTGCAAATTAATATTATTGCTATTACCATTGTGTATCTCTAGTAACAGGACCTGTTTCTTTTATTATAGATCTGAGTTTTCGGCTTTGTGTATATTTTATTTAACGGGGCCTGACTTTCTG
The DNA here is from genome assembly GCF_000001405.40 of Homo sapiens. Classification (NCBI taxonomy): domain Eukaryota; kingdom Metazoa; phylum Chordata; class Mammalia; order Primates; family Hominidae; genus Homo; species Homo sapiens. The sequence goes on along the minus strand of NC_000006.12, from coordinate 14,291,881 downwards.
TTTGAAAGATTTGTTGATGTGGCTCTTTTCATTTGAGCAGCTGTTGTTGCCAATGAATTAAAGAGTAACCAGGGCTCAAAGTGATTTGAGTCTGGTCCTGATTTGGAATCCACTGTGTGGAGCCCATCCATCCTCAGGAACCTCAGTTTCCTTTATTATAAAAAGGAAAAAAAGTTATAGCTCTTACAGCAGAGTTGTAAGAAAGACTACCCTGCCAGAACTGTTCAAATATGAGGAATTGGCAAATATAAAATTCTAAAATATTTCTTAATAATATGCACAAGTTCTGACTTAACAAGCATGGCATATTGTGACTACCCTGTTAAAAAAATCCGCTGATCATTTTTCACAACTTATTTATTCTTGGTGCCTATTTCCTTTCCAAGGAAGGAAAAGGGATAAAAGAACTTTAACATCTTTTTTCGTTACCAAGTGCTTTTTACATTATTCCTGAAATTCACTTCTACACGCAGAATATATTTAGGAGTCTGCCTTCTGATTTAAAATATATATTTATATGTATCTAAATCATTTCCTATAGACTTTTTAAGCATTTTGTTCATCTAAATGTGTATGTTTCTGCTCTAATTGAAATTCCTAAATAGTCACTTTCTGAACTGTCAAAATTGTAAAGCTGTTGATGGGTGCAGCTCTGGGGTTTCCATGGTAACTACTTTCATTGCCTAGGAGATGCTGGTCTGCTGATACTATCACTGAACTGGCTCAAATCTTGAAAACTTGGCGGTGCCCAAAAATGTGGAAGCATGTCCTGAAAGTTTAACGGGCTTTTATTTTTAATGGCTGGCACCAAGCGTGGCCTCATCAGGGCTTGGGAAGAGGCAGCTCTGTTTCGAGGTTCTTCATTGTGTAGAGGATGGGAGCTTTGACAAGCATGCTAATACTACCAGATCCTCTTTGGATGGTAAGCTTTTATGTGAATAGCTCCTAAATAACATTACCATCACTCACTACTACTGGTATGGAAATTGAGTTAGGATAACAGAGCCTGAGTTCCCCCATGAGATAACAAGATGCTTCTGAATATAAGTCAAAATTGGAGTATAGATTGTCTCACAACTCTACTGTTTTTTGTTTCTTTTCGTCTTTCTTTCTGTTTTCTCTTTTTGTCCCTCTCTTTCTCTCTTGTCTGAAGAGTCTGGGACGCTGAAGGCTATAAACATCATGGTTTGTTACACACTTTCGATGTCTGCTCAAATGTGGTGTACCATTTCTAAACCACCTCCTGTTAAACCGTTTGTGGGAAAGTTACATTTAAAATAAATCATTTCATGATCAGCAGTTTTATTGGTGCGTGGTCAAAAATTACCCAGGGAGAGAGAAATCATTTAGTTCACCCTTTTTTTTCCTATCCTAGGAACTCGAGTTTTTTCTAATTACATCCGGAGGATCATTTAAACAGGGTGGTCCATTTTAAAGCAGTCACATTTAAATCTACTTTGCATTAAATGAGCTTGCTTTTAGATGAGTTTGGCTGGCTCAAGAATACATCACAAAATGCAAATCTGATGATAAATAAAGCTTTGGCTACATCGTAGAAATGGGGAGCATTTCAAAAAATGATGTTAGCACTGACTGCTAAGTGAAATGGCATTCCCTGAACACTCCTCATATTTTAAACATTTAAATGTATGCTACTAAATCAAATATGTCCATTTAATATGTGGCAATTTGTAAGCCACACAAAATAAGAAGATGAGGTGCTAGTTTTTCCTCACAAGTTAACACTGGTGAAAATACAAGGGTGGAATAGGGCTGTGAGAAGTCAAAAATAGGAGGAAATGGCTCTGCATACTTATTTGAGGAGTGTTTTGAAGTCGCTAGCAAGCAGAATGTGAACTGCTGTGTGCCAATTATACCACATCTCCTTGGGACCTGAAGCTGTTGAGTTGATGCCTTCTTAGGCTTGGCTCCTAGAAGAAGATAGAAGTCACGAAGGGGTAAAATATTAGCTACGACTAAAAATGCTTTAATGAACGGTTGAAACAAACATCTCAGACTTTATACATGCATAAAACAAAAGATTCGTCCCTTTAAAGGATTAGCCTTCTTACTACTTTAAAGTATTACGCTTGTTAGCCAAAGCGATTATTACAATGATCCCGCTGCCATTGTTCAGATTTTTGAATGCCAGTTTCCACTTTTTAAAAAATTGCTTTCAAAAACTGCGACATGTCTGGGGCATTTTTTTTTTGTATTATACTTTAAGTTCTAGGGTACATGTGCACAATGTGCAGGTTTGTTACATAGGTATACATGTGCCATGTTGGTTTGCTGTACCCATTAACTGGTCATTTACATTAGGTGTTTCTCCTAATGCTATTTCTCCCCCGACCCCCACCCCATGACAGGCCCTGGGGTGTGATCTTCCCCGCCCTATGTCCATGTGTTCTTATTGTTCAATTCCCACCTATGAGTGAGAACATGCGGTGTTTGGTTTTCTGTCCTTGTGATAGTTTACTGAGAATGATGGTTTCCAGCTTCATCCATGTCCCTGCAAAGGACATGAGCTCATCCTTTTTTATGGCTGCATAGTATTTCATGGTGTGTATGGTCTGTGGCACATATTTCTAATTATTTACCAAAACTTATTCTTTCTTCTTTTGTATTATGTGGAAGCTGAGTATGTGGCTTCTATAATAGTAAAATGGCATCTGGGCACATGGCTACTCAGCTGGTGATTACCAGGTGTGGCCACGTGACTAGATTCTTAACAGAAAATAGAAGTGCTATGAGTCATTTCCAGACCTTGGTACAAAATATTGCACATGAGCTCTCCATGACTGTTTCCATCTCTCAGGAACCATAGGAACCCAGCATCGACCTAGCAGATGGCAGCTACTCTAATTCTTATGCTGGTAATACAAGAAACCTGGGTCCCTGGATGACAGCGTGAAGTAGATCCACCCTGCCAACCAGGTTCTTTTTTTAAACTTGTCACAAGAATGTAAGTTTCCTTTTTCTGTAAATACCACTGCATTGTTGGGTCTTTGGGTACAGAATTCCAAAAAAATGTAGGTAATGAAAATGGTGTCTCTAATGAGAAACAAAACCTAGTTGGAAAAGTAAGTCCTTGTATAGATGTTTAGGAAGGAGTTTCATGAACTTATAGTTAGTTATTGTACTAGGTTCACCAAGTGAGTGAATCAGAAGGACACAGAAAAGTACCTGGAAAGGAGTGACAGGAAGACAGGTGAAAGAAACATTGGAGAAAACACAATCAAAATTAATCAGATCCAATATTGTAATTTTTTAATACAGGATATGTTGCTCTAAGCTTTTTATGTTCAGCCTCACTTTTACATTCTTCTGCATATAATAGAATCCTACATAACTGAGGTGTGTCTGGGAAGGACATTTTGTGAGATTTTGTTGCCAAAATACTAAACTTTCAGAAGGATCTTAATAGGTCCATGTTTCAGTTATCTGCTGCTGTGCAACAAACCAGCCTAAACGTAATGGCTTAAAACTGTAATTTATGGCATATCACAATGCTGCAAGTTGACTTAGGTCAGCTAGGATGGTCTTCTACTCCATATGGTATACTTCGCATCACTGATCTGCCTGCATTCAGCTGGGAGCTTGGCAGAGAGGGGAACTTCCAAGATGGTCTTTCATCCCTCAGGCTCTCTCTCAATACAGCTCCTCATCTTCCAAACATCTAACCTGAATTTCCTAAAAGCATGACAGCTGACTCCCAAAAGGGAGCATTCCAAGAGAGAAAAATTAGAAGCTGCCAGTTCTTGAAAGGCTTGGGCTCAGAAGTTTTAGAATGTCACTTTTGTTAGTCAAAGCAAGTCACATTCAAGGGAGGGAAAAATAAACCCACCTCTTGAGGTGGGGGACAGCTTGCACCTACAGAAAGGGAAGGTGTTGTTGTTGGCCCTAGTTGGAATGCCTACTACAGACATTATACAGAAAATAACTGGTCATTATCCCCAGTTCCTGGCACACAGCTTCAATAACCCTTGGACTTTGCTGAATGATAGAACTGTCTTGTTATTCATAACAAGCCTCTTTCTACCATACCTGAGTTTATGCTAATAAGGTAACTTATTACAGGGCTCTTAGATAGTTTTAGGATGGGAGCTGGTCCCCAGATAAACCAACCACATGATTAAAGAGTTAGAATTTCAGCCCCACTCTGAACCTCTGGGGAAGGTAGAAGGACTAGAGGTTGGGTTCAGTCACCAAGACCCAGATAAACCAACCATATGATTAAAGAGTTAGAATTTCAGCCCCACTCTGAACCTCTGGGGAAGGTAGAAGGACTAGAGAGGTTGGGTTCAGTCACCAAGACCGGTATTTAAATAAATCATGTCTGCATAATGGAACCTTAATAAAACGCTGAAACAGAGAGGCTCCAAGAAGTTCCTGGGTTATGAACGCATCCATGTGCTGGGAAGGCAACATACCTGGAATTAAGTTGTTGGATGTTTTCCACATCTTTTCTAATCCCTAGGATCCTAGGCACACAGTTTGTCCACAATATATTCTCATTGTCTTGTTGTGCTGTTTTATCAAATCTTACCTATCTTCAACTGCCTTTGGACTGACACATACTGGACCTGAGAGATCAGCTTCCTGTCCACCAGAGGCTTGGAAGGCTTCCATAAGGAGTCCATGGAAGCTCTGCACCCCACCTCTACCCCCAAGGCCTTGCCCTGTGTATCTCTTTCTCTTGCTATTCATCTGTATCCTTTATAATAAAATGGTAACAGTAAGTATAGTGCTTACTTGAGTTTCCTAAGCCATTCTATTGAATTCTTGAGCCAGAGGGAGTTGTGGGAACCCCTAAATTTGTTGCCAAGTCAGACTGAAGTGAGGGTAGCCTGGGGACCCTGTTTGTAGCTGGTATGTGAGTAAGGGCAGTATTATTAGGGACCTTGCCCTTTACCTTGTGGGTTCTGATGTTAAATAGGGATAGTTAGTGTCAAAATGTATTGAATTGAATTGTAGGACACCCAGTTGGTGTCAGAGAATTGCTGTTGGAATGCAATCACCAAATAGAATCACCTTGTGGCTAAAACAAAGGTTGCAAGAATGCAGAGGGCTTGGATTAAATTACTTACACTGGTATTGTCCATGTGGCTCTCACAAAGATTTAGTTTTCTTATTGTAAAAGAAAAATACCTATATTCAGGTCTAATATGCAATTTAAATACACAGGAAAAAAACACCTTATAAACTGAGCAACACAAAGTAAATATTAGCGACTATTATGGGCCAGATGCTAATATAAAAACAAAAATCTTATTTATAACCCAACAAGAGCACTGTGGCCAGATTTTTACCCATTTTCAAGTCAAGTGAGAGAAATAATGAATGTAGATTCCCAAAGCTAAAGATATAAATTTGGTCCTACGTATCTTCTGTGTGCATGTCTGGGATTTTTTTCAACCAATTTTTTTCCATTCAGTTCCAGGCAGAAACTTGACAATTTCTTCTCATGAATCATCTTTCTATGGCACTATTCCACACCCGGCAGAAAAATTATGTGAGGCCACGGTCTTTGCTGGCTGGCACTCAAAGAAAACATGCAAAACTGAACTCCATGTGGTCTTTGAGCCATCCCTCAGATCCTGAATTCCCTCAGCCCTTGAACCTGAGTTGGGTTAGTGGGAATCCCAGCTGGGTGCCAGGGAGAAGGCTGCTCTCAGGACCCAGCAGAAAGGGATGGGACGGAGCAATGTGAGTAAATGAGGGACATCTGCTCCCGAGATTTTGTGGCACCCACTCATCAGAGGTAAAATGAGCCTGTAACATTTTTAACAATTCAAGCCTCTGGTGGACAGGAAGCTGATCTCTCAGGTCCAGTATGTGTCAGTCCAAAGGCAGTTGAAGATAGGTAAGATTTGATAAAACAGCACAACAAGACAATGAGAATATATTGTGGACAAACTGTGTGCCTAGGATCCTAGGGATTAGAAAAGATGTGGAAAACATCCAACAACTTAATTCCAACATATATTAAGTACTTCCTTTTTACCAGTACAGAGGATGCATGACATATAGTTTCATATAGTCAAGGTACAGTCACCGATGTAGAGTTTCAAATGTTCTATGTACATGCACGCACACACATACACACACATTAGAAGAGATGATCTACTCTTCTCTTGTTTACATGCTTTTCATGAAGCCCTTACAAAGAAAACCAAGAACAATTCCTCAAAACTCCATGCACAGCTTCCTCTTTGTGGATCCTGAGACTTCGGATGCTGGGACTAACTAGCCACTCACCGAGTCAAAGCTGGTGTGCAGAGAAAACCATTTCTCTCTTGTTAAATGACCTCGCTTCATCATAAAACCTTAAAAAGAAAGCTTCCAGATCATTTGTCTCCATCACAAAACTTATAAAAATGAGATGGAAAAAAAGTTAAATTATTTTGGCTCATAAGTTTCAGATGGAGTTGTATATTTCCCTAAAGGGTCAAAAATAGAACATTTATTAAACGACGAGTTATTCAAAAACCGGCACAGGCCCCAGTTGTCTTTCAAAAGCTCTGATTTACTGCATATTTCTCCCTTGAGAAAGGCCTTTTTTAAATGTTCATTTCCATTTTAAGAGACTGTGGGCTTTGATCTGTTGGGAGCATTCTTTTTCTTTCCCTGACTGGGGCCTGTCGGCTACTCAGGCCTGTGTTTTTCCATGGCCTTCCCCAGCATTCACACGGCATCTCCTGCATCTGCGTTCACCCTGGCTAATTTGGAGGTCAGAACTGGTGAGTCCCTGTAGCAGGTGACACCAAGAACCAATGAGCCATATTTGCTCTTCACACCTCAACAAAGATGCTGCTTCCAGGAGGTAAGAGAAAGGTGAGATGGGCTTGGGTGTCCCTACAACCTGCAAAAGCTGTCAAGTCCTCCTTTAAAGTTAATTTGAAATTTCATAATAAATTTAATCTTGTTACTCCAGGAAAGTCAAGGCACAGTCACAGTGATATTAAAATGTATTTTGCTTTTGAAAGAATCAGGTCCTTCTTTTATTTTTTGAGACAGAATCTTGCTCTGCTGCCCAGGTTGGAGTACAGTGGGATGATCATAGCTCCCAGTAGCCTCAAACTTGCCATCCTCCTGCCTCAGCCTCCTGAGTCGCTGGGACTACAGCTGCACACCACCACTACACCTCACTACTTCATGTCTTTTTTTTTTTTTTTAACTTTGTGTGGGTAATATCGATATGTGCTTGGAGTCTGCTGGCCATGAGTTTTTCTATTCCAGACAAGTTGGAAGATCAAGGGTGAAATGGGTCATTTTTAATATCAAACCTGTTGCCCTGCTTTGTTTTCAAATCACACCACTCTTCACCCTCTGGCCCCACTAGGCCTTAGTGCAAATTAGTAAAAACCTCCCCCTTGAGGGGCAGATACAGGGCCCTGCCACTGTGTCCATCTTGGTGAGACACCAAAGGCTGGGTTTTAGTTCCCACTTGCCTTATAAACACAGTTGTGCCTGTACTCCCACTTTGATCCCCCCTGCCCACAGGTGCCCAAAATACACACACACATACACACACACACACACACAACCCTTGAAATGACTGGAGTAGCACTAGATGATTCTTCCAGTGCTAAACAATTTATTATTTACCCACCTCTTCCTTTCCTCCTCTCTTTCCTCTTCTTGTCCTCTTCCTCTTCCTTTCTCTCTCCATTCTCTCTCTCTTCTGCAATAATACAGTGAGTGTTTGTGTAAGTTTCAAATCCAGCAACCTGAAGATTCGCCTCCAATGGCACAGGGCTGGACCGCACTCAGAGGTGGCTGCCACCCAATCGTCACTCAGCGTTTTATCGCTGGGCTATTCTGTTCGAGTGCTAAGCAATTGTTCACAGAAATAAGATAATGGAAAGAGCAGAGACAGAATGAGCAATGGAGAGAGTCGGGCCTACCATCGCGCTTACTGCTGTTCGTCACAGGTAAATGACACATACAGGCTTAAAAAGCAGCTCTCTCTTTTTTGTAGCCCATTTTTGTTTGTTTGTTTGTCAGATTACATGTTCGATCAATTGCGACAAGCCACTGTACCATGCAAGGCATTGTGCAATCCAGTATAAACCCAAACCTCCATGGGCAGAAAGGAAACCCATCCACACTGCCCTCTAAGGGCTGTTAACCACTGTGAAGAGAAGAGATCACCAGGGATTTTTTTCCCAGATGACTTTCTATGGCAGGGAGGGAAAGAAATTGTGTTCTCCAGGAGAAAGTGGTTAATTTTATTTTATTTTATTTTATTTTATTTTATTTTATTTTATTTTTGTAGCTGCAGGCAATCTGTGGATAAGTGGGTATTACCATCGTGGTACATCTCTAATTAATAAGATCAATTGCCACTGTATTTTCTTTTACAAACTCATTTAGATATGTCAGGGCTGCAATTATTTTGCGAATGATCTGTCTTTACGCTTATTCATCTTTCCTCTTCCTCAAGGAGCAAATAAAACTGTCAGCTTAAATGCCCTTTGAAGTCTGTTTTAAATCCTTGATTGAAAATTAAAAACAAAGCTCTCTAGCCTGGTGCCATTTCCAGGGTCAAAGTTCCTGTCCTCACATTGCTTTGTGTGTGTGTGTGTGTGTGTACACAGGCACGTGTGTGTATTGATTTCTGTTTTTAAAAAGGTAACATGTTGGCTTCTGAATCCCAATGTTGCACCCTTTTCTTTTCATCTCCTTAGATCTGCAAGAACTCTGAACTCATAGATTATGTCCAAACTGAGAAGCACTGGACAGTCATTTTGCTTATCTGCGGTTTCTCATTTCTGAGAAGAATCTCCATATGGACATTATCACTTTTGTTATAATCTCGAGGATGGTTAAGGTAGCTTTGATCGCCACTTTCATATCTCCTGTGATAATCAGCACCAATGGAATGTGCAGAAATCCATCCCTATTCCTAAGGACTCCTGATGTCATCTCACCAGGTGGGACGGTTTGTCCTGCTCGAGTCTGCACGCCCAGCTCCAACAGCTTCGCCCAAGTTTGGGGACAGGCTTCACCCAACACCCAGAATCTGTGCAGTTATTTGGCCCCTCATTGAAAAGCCTCTCACGGTTACAGACAAAATTAACTTGGTCATCCCTGCAGCGCCGGAGGGATACTTCTGGACTCTCTGTTTGGGGAGTGTACGCTCAAACCGTTTCAAGAAGAGATTTAAACCTCTTCTTGGAGAAGACTGAGGCTGGCACAAGGCTAACAAATCAAATAACTGCACCGAGGCAAAGCTGCCGTCTCTCCCGGGCTGTACCCTGCCTGCTTCTCCCATCCCTGCCTTCTGGCCGATTTGTCTTTAAGGTTTTAGCATTATCCCTCTGTTGACAAATGAATGCTTTTCTGGAAGATGAGGTATTTCCAGAAGCAGGCAGACACTGGCTGGAGCGCCGTAAGAGCTCTGCCTCCCTCGATTCGTTATGTGAACGGGAGAGGCCTGGAGGTTTTGCGCGAGCATTACGTTCAAGGTGATGATAAATGGAGTCTGGCCGGGGTGGTAATAAGGGAATTTCTAGCCAGATCCTGTCTAGACCACGGTTTGTTATGGAGGGAAAGCCACAAAAGGGGGCTATAGTACCCCGTTCCTCAGAGAAATTGTCCTCAGGGAGAGCCAAGCACATTTCCAGTCCGAACCTTCGTCCGGCCCCTCACTGGGGCCGCTGTAAATAACATTAGCCTGTCTTTCAGCAAGCTCTGGGAAGCTTATAAACCGAACACGGTTTTTGTTGTCTGTAGTTGTGCATTAAGCTCAGTACTGTCAAGTCTAATTATTCTCATTAAGGCCTGAAAGTTTTAGGGATTAATTAAGCAGAGAGCCAAAGCTTATGCAGAACAGCAATATTTTCCCCCTGAAGGATTAGCCCGTCATTCTGATGGGGTTTTCCTTGAGCGTTGCCCATTACTTTATAAGATAGCAAAGTGTGGAGCTCATATAATATGGATTAGAAATCGCCTACATTTCACATGTGCTATTCAGCCATGAAAATAAGTCCTGGCCCTTGTGCCTGTAACCCGGAAGGCTCACTAATGAGAACCAGGCAGTGGGGCTAATGAGAAATTCAATACGTGCCGTCTCTCCTTCCCGTTTCCTTTCAATTTACTTTCTACAGGAGCCAATATGTGTAGGAAAAGTCTGAGTGGATGCTGGTATTCTCCTCTTTACCTGGTAGGGATCTTAGAAATTATCTGATTCTAGTCCTTCTTGCTATAGAAGTGAAAACTGGGATTCAGCAACCTGCTTAAAGGGACCCAGTTAATGGCAAAGCTACTTGAAGAGAAGGTGACAGGAAACTTCAGGAGGTGTAGACAATCATTAGGTACATTAGGATGGTGAGGGTACTTAGTCTTAGGTTTTGGTGTGATGGAAAATGCCGCAGAAATGAGAAGGTCCCACAATGAAAGGAGGATGCTGGTGAGGACCTAATTTGCAGACGAGCCCCAGGAACTCTGGTGCCCTGCTTGGCAAAGGATTTCAAGGCTTCCTGGAGAAATGGGGGTAGGGGGAGGGATCGTTAAGCCCTGGCACCCCAGATATAAAAAGGAAAGTCAGACGTGGGTAATCACCCTGTCTTCACCCAGCAGCTCCAGTTTTCAGCAAGGCAGAGGGGACACTTCTGCCTTCAGTCTCCCCTACTTCACATCAAGGCGCCGTTGCATTTGATGGCTCGGGACGCGGCCTTCCTGCCTCCCACACTCCCAAATCCATGCCTTGTTTATCTTTTTAGAATGGATCTCTGATGCCTGCCCACCACGCGGCTGGAGTGGCGCCAGCATCCCCAGGGCACGTCTGTGATGACCGATGAGGTCCACCACCTCTACCCCAGACCCTCCCATACCCAAAGGCTCCCTCTGCCCAGTGAAGTCCCCTTCGCCCCAGCATTCCTGCACCAGGCACATCCCAAGGGTGGCCCCGTGTCCTGCAGGTGGCAGGAGAGTGCACCCTCCTCAGACACCAGTCTGATATGTCACCAGGAGAGAGCGGGCGGTCCTCAGTGTATGCTCTTTTCTTGTCTCTGGGGAGCTTGTTTTGGCTCCTCAAGAAGACCTTGGAAAAAGCACAGGTTGTAGAGGCGGCATTCGCCGGGCAGAACCATGTCCCAAGACAACTGGTTAGTGAGGCCAGGCGTGACAATCATAATCGGAGCAGCAACTGTGCAATGGCATAGGCAAAGGGGGCCGAAGGCGCAGCAGCCACCACCATTATAGTCAGACTGGGCACCGTTTCCTAAATGTCACACATCCTTCCAGCCCCTTGATCTTTGCTTATGAAAAGGGTCATTCCCTCTACAATCCTCTAGAACTCTTTGTAGGTTTTTGTTTGTTTTCCAAACACTGTACTTGCTTCTTTATCTGTCTCTCTATGAACCGTGAGTCCCAGAGGACCTCGTGGTCCTCAATTATCCTTGCTTCTCTGTGGCCTGTGCCATGGGGCTGAATGTTTGTAGCCCCCAGAATCCATATGTGGAAGCCCTAATCCCCACTGTGCTGGTATTAGGAGGTGGGGCCTTTGGGATGTGATTAGGGTTAGATGAGGGCATGAGGGTGGGGCCCTCATAATGAGATTAGTGACCTTATCAAGAGGATGAGACACTAGATCCCTTGCTCCCTCTCTGCCTGCAATCACCAGTGAAAGGCCAAGTGAGGACATAATAGAAGCCATCCCTTCCCAGAACCCAGCCATGCTGGCACCCTGATCTCTAGCTTCTCAGCCTCCAGAACTGTGAGAAATAAATGTCTGTTGTCTACTCCACCCAGGTCGTGGTCATTCATTATAGCAGCACAAACAGACTAAGACAGTAGGGAACAGTGATTGTTACATTATAGGTGCTTAGCTAACTTGCTCACTGATCGGCTGAGGTCTCTCCCCTGCCATTAAACAGTGAACCAACAATTAGTTAGCAAATGCAATTTCAGCTTCTACTGAGGGAAAGATAATACACCCAGCAGTGTGAAGAAATTTCTTTGCAGAACCAAACTAAAGGTCCAGGTTACTAAACACAGCATTAGTTTTTCTCAAATCAGTATGTGTTGTTATACAGGCAAGCCTAATTAATCATATTTCCAGGGTATACACTGAATAATCTGAGAGAAGAAATCAATTACCTAAATTCGTGGTTCTCATAATTCGAAGCAGTCGAATTTCAAAGTGTAGGTTTTAAATCAGAACTGTTGATCGTGACAGATGGGGACATGGGAGGGAGGTGTGCATTTTAAATTTTAAAGAAACGTAATTTTATAGCAACCTGCATCTGTTAATAGGTTACATCTGTATCTTTTCAATGTTGCAGACATATAAGGCAAAAGAAATATTTTATAGATAATTCAACTAATTGACAGGCCTTTTGTTATTTCTTTGTTTTTTGGGGTTTTTTTGTTTTGTTTTGTTTTTGGTTTTGGTTTTTTTGGTTTTTTGTTTTGTTTTGTTTTTTGAGATGGAGTCTCGCTCTGTCACCCCGGCTGGAATGCAGTGGTGGGATCTTGGCTCACTGCAACCTCTGTCTCCCAGGTTCAAGCAATTCTTGTGCCTCAGCCTCCCGAGTTGCTGGGACTACAGGTGTGCGCCACCACGCCCAGCTAATTTGTTTTGTATTTTTAGTAGAGACAGGGTTTCACCATTTTGGCCAGCCTGGTCTCAAACTGCTGCCCTCAAGTGATCCACCTGTCTTGGCCTCCCAAAGTGCTGATTACAGGCCTGTGCTACTGCACCTGGCCTCTTTTCTTATTTCTAAATCTACTAACAGAGGCTGTTGACTTAGCACTTCTGCCCAAGCTCCTTCAAAGGCAAAACCATGCAGGAGGTGGGGAAGGTGCCTAGAATAAAAGGATGTAACAAATACAAGATGAGGAACAAGTAATATCATTTTTCTTATTGCTTGTTAATTATAATAACTCAGAAGTTGAAGCTTAAATATGTCTCCTTATCTTTTTTTATTCTTCTTTAATTAGTTCTGTTCAGTGAGCACCCTGGTTGGCATGTGTAAGACGTGCTCAGGAATACTCAGCCAATGACACTATAGGATTGCCGGATTTAGCAAAACTGATGTTGTAAAGCCGCTTGAAACTTCTAACGTGTGTAGAGAATTGTATGCACTTTAACAACAGATACATTTTCTTTCCTCTCCTAAGCTGCATTTGTGCCCATCCATTCTTGACCACATGCCTGTATGGCTGCTGTTGCTAGGGAGCCTGGATGTGACAAAGGGCTTTACAGCTCAAAGATCAGAGGGACCAGGACGCTGTGAGCAGCTGCCAGTGGGAACCTGGGCAGCTAAATGCAAGGGGCACTTTCCCCTCGCTGGCAAAGCAGCATCTGGGGGCTGCACTGGTTCCTGCCCCCACCTTCCTCTCCCTCTCCTCCTCCCCGTCTTTTGCCCCCTACCTCTCCCTCCATCTCCTCCTCCCCTTCTTCGAACTCACCTGCCCACCAGGGGCTGGGTAGTGAGTGAAACAGGAGAGGGTGCCCATCAAAGTGGTTTGGCGAGTGGCTACTGCTCAGTATTGCCATATGCAAGGGGCACTTCTGATTTTTCTATATTTTTCAAGCTATGCCAGTTATCTGGGTGTTGTGTGAAGTCACCATATTATTATTATTTCTTTTGAGATGTAGTCACCGTATTCTTCAGCACTGATGACTAACTTGAGTCTTTGAAAAACACCGTGCAAGCTAAAGCAAATGTCTCTGTGGGCTTCCCGACTGCAACCTCTGGGTTAAGGGAAGCCCAGTAGGTGTTTCTCTTTCCTGTCCTACCACCCTGAAGCCTGCCACGGATTCATTCAACAAGTGTTTTTGGACATTGACTATGTGCCAGGCACTGTTCTGTGCTGGACATAAGGCAGTGAAAACTCAGATAAAATGCCTGTTCTCAATAGGCCACATTCACTGAGAGATGGACAGTAAACAAAATGAGTAAGAAGAAAATGTATACTATATTAGATAGTACACAGGGCTATGGAGGAAAACAAAGCAAGATGGCAATAGGAAAGGTGGTTTAGTGTCCACTTTTGAATAGAAAAATTGGAGAAAACTTCAGTGAGAAGGCAGCAAGTCAACAAGAACCTGAAGGAATAAGCCACCTAGAGAACAAGAGAAGAACATTCTAGAGAGAGAGAGTGACGGCAAGTGCAAAGGTCCTGAGGCATGTAGCAAAGGGACTGGTCAGCAGGAGAGGTGGGAGTGAGTGAGTGAGAGCAGGGAAGAGTAGGAGGGAGGCCAGAGAGATGGGGTGGGACAGCCCACTGAGCAGCCTCTGCAATCCATGAAACTGTGGGGGAATTCTGAGCAGAGCAGAAAGTTGACCTGGCATGTTCTCACAGGTCACCCAGGCTGCTGTGTTGAGAGCAGACTGCAGGGAGGCAAAGTGGAGGAGGGAGGCTATGACAGTGATCACAGCAATGGAGATGATGGCAGCTCAGAGCGGGAAGATAGCACACAGGTGGAAAGAGAATGGTCAGATCCATTGCTAGGCAGGCCTCAGGAAATACCAGGTATGGAATTTCCCATCTCCTGGATTTGTTTTAGTCACCTATCAAAAGTAAAATGTAGCATCACGTTTAAAGAATTTTCCACTTAAAAAACCAAAACTGTTCACTTAGCTGCCTTAAAACTCTTTGCTGCCTTGATAGTCTGGCTTCCTGTGCACGGAGAGATCTGTTGACTCTAGCAGGATGAGTTAAGTGAGATCACAAGACACAGAAAGAGGAATAGACAGATCTGAAAATAAGCACTGGCTCATGCACCCAGAACCTAAAGCAGACCAAAATAAACCACATCCTCCCACCACTTTATTTTTTTATATTTAAGGGTTTTTTTGTTGTTTAGCAAAGTATAATTTTAGAGGTGGCAACCAGTTTGAAAAAAAGATGAGCAGGAGGAGAAGGGAAAGAAGAGGACGAGAAAGAGGAGGAGGAGGACAAGGAGGAGGAAGAGCAAGAAAAAGAGAAAGAGGAGGAGGAGTAAGAGGAGGAAGAGAAGGAGGAGGAAGAGGAGGAAGAGGAGGAAGAGGAGGAGGACCCTTAGCCAGGAGCCCAGGACTCAGGAGCAGTGCTGGCCCTTCCCTCTGTCACGAGTGGCTGCATGTAAGGAGAATGAGAATTGCAGACTTGAGCTGTTCAGAACCTCAAAATGTCTCTAATTAGAGACAGATTCAATGTCTGCTATATGTGCTATGTGCCACAGCATTTCCTGTTAATTAAAAGTCATTCACAGCTCTGTGGGTTAAAGGGCCTATTCCATACTCCAGATACTCCTAAAAGTGCTTAGGAAGGGGTAGGAGGAAAGGCATGGCCCACCTGAAAATAGTCCTGCTTCCCCTTGAGACCAGAGTGACCAGCAAATCACCGTGGCAGGTGGCATCTTCTCCCCTCCACAGCAGAGGCTCAGGCACTCCATTAAAAAGGGAGGTAACTGTCATCTCTCAATTCCAGGAATTCCTTCATTCTCTGCCCACCACTTCACCTTCTTTGGGCTCCCTCTCTGGCCTGACCTCCCAGCAGCACCATGTTTAGGTTCTCTTATTTGCCAAGACTCCCTAATAAAGATGCCTTGGCACTCAGCCCATATCCCCTCCACACTTCCCTCGATGTCTGAGGCTGCTCACTGCCAACCCTGGCATTCTGCTTTTTGCCTGGTTTGGGGAACCTTCTAGGTCCACCTGCAGGGAATCCAGAGTGCCAGGTCACTGCCCAGAAAGCCTGCCTCAAGCAATCATGAGCAAGGAACTGTTGGATAATGCCCAGCTTCCTCGTCCCGTAGATGGATTAAATCCAAGGCATGTTCTAAAGTGTCTCCGGGAGCTCCCTGTGGGATCAAGCTCCAGGTGCCCACTGTGGCAAATGGCTTAATAAGCCCCCTTGCTTCCCTCCCTTATCTGTCTCCCTTCCCCCATCCATGCTTCCTGGCCTAACCTCCTAAATAAATGATTTGTGCTTGAAGTCTTGCCTCAGTGTCTGCATTCAGAAGGACCTATCTAAGACACCCATCCACCGCCTCTGACTTGTGCTTCCCCAGGAGAAAGTTCTGCCTGCCCAACTCCTCTGATCCTGCCCTAACCCCCACAGGCAGGGCCCTTCCAGTCCAGGCTAGGCTTCTAGAACAGCTCCCCAGCACAGCCTGGCACCTGCGTCCCTGCGCATCAGGGGCAGGCATTATTGCCTCCTCGCCTTCACCCCCACCCACCTCTGCTGGAGGCTCATGCTCCGTCCTGTCCCAGGAGCCATGGCTATGAGCAGGGTGCCCCTCACAAGCATTCTGCAGCCGCTGCTGCTGGCAGCTGTGGTTTCCTATCAGCTGCTGCGTGCAGGCTGAGGGAGACACTCCTGGGCCTCATCCCAGACTTCCTGGCTTTGCCAAGCTCGCCGCTGCTGGGATGAACAAGGGAGCCCGAGTGTGGAGCTGTGTAGAGTCCCTCCAGGCCCAAGAGCACACTGGGGGCTGCCAATCTCCACATAGAGCTGAAAGAGCTGGAAGCAGAGCCCCAAGGGTGGCAACAGAGGACAGTCAGAAGAGGATGCTCACTGGGGTTGCATCTGGAAGTCACTTATAATTTGGATATCTAATGGCAATGTGGCCTCTTCATGAGGGGCATGGCTGGTCAGGCCTGGGCAGATTGCCTACACGCCAAGCTGTTCTGGTTGATTCTTTGACCGGTTGCCATAAAGCGCCTTTGATCCAACCTTGACACTGGTGGGTTTCACAGCTCTGAGGGAGACACAGCCATCTGGCAGGCTATCCACAGTGGGAGCCCAGACATCAGAGGTTTCTGGAAACATCCGTGGGTATTTTTAGTGCCCCATTTCCCTCCCTTCTTCCCTGACAGCTCCTAAAACAAACCTCAACAAGCAAGGAGGTGCCTGTGTTTCTGCAGCTGGGGCCTCTCCGCCTCCACTCCTGACACCACGTGGGCTGACCTCAGCGAGCTTCTTGCCTTAGCTCTGCGATCAGCCTTTCCTAGAAGGCCCCTGACCCTGGATACCTCTGCCTATGTGCCTGATTCTCATAGAGGCTGGTCCACAGCAAAATAACTTGCAAGAGGACCAGGACGCATCTCCAGTGCCTGGAACACTGCCTGCACGTCACAGGTGCTTCATACAATTTGCCATATAAATGAATGAATAAAGTGACTCATCACTGAGGCTCAAAGCAGTACCCAGGCCAGTTGTTGAGACACGCACCCCAGCGTGGGCTCCGCCACTGCACTCTGCCTTGTCTTGCTGGTTAAACACGTTACTCCCGTTTTTCCCTGTGTAAAGTGGCATACAATGGAGGTTGTGCAACGGAAATGGTTTAGTTGGACTTTCTGAAAGAAAGCCAAATCTGGCAGAATCAGAGGTTGAACTTAACAGACTCTTTTCCTTTGACCAAAACTTTATCTAGGCTCCTCCAAGTCCTCTGCTTGATGGGGCCTGAACTTGGGCTTCCTTCTGTGTCCTCATAGAATCCAGTCTGAGCAAGAATTCTGCTCACTTTAGCAAAAATCCCCTCTTTGGTGCCTTACCACCCTTAATGCCTTATCACCCCGACCTGCCTTTTGCAGTAACTGATCAAGTCAGTTTAGCCAGAAACCCCTCATCCTTGATGTTTTCTCTTAGTCATTTTCCACCCCTGACCCCACTCAGCTCCCTGGTTATAAATCCCCACTTGTCCTCGCTAGAGTTGAAGTGGAGTCCGATCTCTCTCCCCCACCGCAAGACCCCATTGCTGTGGTCCCCATACCCTATCGCCATGGCTCCCCTTGAATAAAGTCTGCTCTGCCATTCTTAAGAAACTGAACCAAGAAAATTCTAGAAGACAGGAGCAGTCAGTTCAATCATCAACACCAGTGAGGCAGCAATGAAGATACAGAGGTGTAACGTGACTGGGAAGGAAGCAGACAGGGTTAGGGGACCAAGTGGGTGAGAGTGGCAAGTGACTGACAGCCTGGAGTTATGGGTGGCTCCAGATTTTTCTGGCTCAAAACTGGAGAATAATACCATTAACCAAAATCAAGAACATGTCAAGAATATGTAAAAGGGCACTTTTCCCTTAAGTACCACAATCTCAGCAATGGCAGGCTTGACTCCTAAATAATATCAAATCAGAAATTTCTCATTCGTCTATCTGAGCAATTTGATTGAGACCTGTAATACATCTTTGCTAAACCAGGCCACAAAATGTGTACCCGATCGATATATAATTCCTCAAATACCTATCTTGTTTTCACCTTCCTTCTAGAAACATACATGGCCTTTTTAAATACACACATTTTCTACAGAAATGCTCAGGGCACAGAGGGCTGGAGGTCACAGCCATCTAGGGATCTAGGGTGTGTTGCCTTCTGCAGGCTGTCACGGGGCTCATGTGGGCCAGAAAAGGCTTCTCTGGTCTGAAGGCAATACTTGGCATATGCAGAACGCCTGCTGTCAGCAGTTGCTTTTCAAAGGCGATGTTAATTCCAGCTCATTGTTCTACCCCATTTTCCATTCAGAGGCACAGCACGAGGTATTTGGCAGGCCATGAACTAAAGCTGCACATGTATTCCAATCTCTTTTGGGGTGGGTCCCGGCCTTGCTCCCACACTCTCCCTCTCTCCTCCCACTTTTAGTATTTCAACTTTCTTCCCCTTTTCATTTCTGCTTCCGACTTACATACTGCACGGGTGTGGCCTCGTGGAAAAGTAGATTGGTCTTTGGAAATAGAGCTATTCCCACAATAGGTGGAGATGTGGGATAGATTGGAATGATCCAAACGCAAATCTCAATCCAGATCCTGTCGATACGAGACCGTGGCTGTGGTGTAGACGAGGAAGGCTGGCAAACCCAGAAAGATCCAATGGACAAAGCTTCATCAAGCCCTTATCATGCCTGGCATTGAGGATGTAACAAAGAACAAGGGAGACCCCTGTTCTCAAGGAGCGTAGGGTCCAGTGGGCCATGCTAGGCCTGAGGTCACCTCCCTGAGAAGGAAGCCTTGTCACTGCCATGTTAGAGATGGGCAAGCTCAAGTGCAGAGCCATTACAACCTTCCTAGCAGCCAAGCCTCATTAGTGGCAAACTTCCAGGTCTACTGACTCTGCTCCCTCTATCACAGCTGCCCACTGGCTTAACAGTGGCATCAATACACCCATCCTGGATGACTCTATCCATGACTTGGAATGATCCTTATAACCTATTAAGCAGGAAACAAAATTAAAGAACCCAAATCCAGCTTAGTGCCAGTTTCTAGTGGCATCACCTGATGTGTTCTTTTTGCCTGCTGCACTGATAAAACCAATTCATTGAGACAGTGGTATTGCAGTAGAGAAAGGGTTAATAATTGCAGGGCTAGCCGAGCAGGAGGACAGGAGATATTACTACTCAAATCAGCCTCCCTCAGAACTCAGAGGCTATGGATTTTATAGATTGTTTGTTAGGCAGGGGGCTAGGGAATGGGGGCTGCTAATTGGTTGGGGATGAATTCACAGGAGTATGGAAAATGGTCCTCCTGTCCTGAGTCAGCATCTTGGTGGAGGCCACAAGACTGGTTGAGTCATGAGTCATGGGTCCAGGTGAAGTAAGTCGCCAGAATGCAAAAGTCTGAAAACTATCTCCAAAGGCCAATCTTAGGTTATACAATAGTGATGTTATCTATAGGAGCAATTGGGGAAGTCACAAATCTTGTAATCTCTGACCACATAATTCCTGAGCAGTGAGGAATTATAGAAAAGCAAGCTAGGAACAATGGCGGGTTATTGTTTAACTGTACCTACATTTTAGCAGAGTTCAGGCCCCTCCCATAACCATAATCTTTTAAACTTTTATTAGTTTTTCAAAGGTGGTTTAGTCCCTTAGCAAGGAGAAGGTTAGTTTTTGGGAAGGACTATTATCATTCTTGCTTCAAAGATAAACTATAAGCTAAATTCCTTTCATGTTTAGCTTGGCCTACACCCATGAACGAATGAAGACCAACAGCCTGTGAGGCTAGAAGCAAGATGGAGTTGGCCACACTAGATTTTCTCATTGTCATAATCTTTGCAAAGGAGTTTTAATCTCTAGCTTCCCTTTAAGTTCAAGGTTGAGGTTGCATAGAATAACTTGAAAAATTGGCCTATTATTCAACAACCTTTGTGATAAAGATTACCCCAGAGGGTGTGACCTTAACTCTGAAACATCCTATTATTCTAACAGAAAGGAGTTAGGCTCTTAAACCTGCTCAGTAAATGCCAGATCCAAATATTCTAGGAGGTGCATAGATTTGGTTACCTGGCCTCTCCTCTTGTTGAGTATCTGCTGTACTCCAATTACTACATCCATTTAATCACACTGTGACCGGACCCCACAGTCCAATCACAAGAATGAGTGGTTGGCAGTGTTATGACTAGGCTGTCCCAAAAGCCCTAGTTCCAAATTTACCAGGCAAGGAGAGCAGCAGGAAGACCAGCTGCAGAGGGGATTGACTTTCTTCCACTTGGTCAGGAGGCCGGCACCTTTGAAATTCAAAGGCACTTCCTTAAAGCCAAAAAAAAAAAAAAAAAAAAGCTAGTCCGGGTCCTTCTGATCAGGGAGGATGTGGAGGACGGGTGTGAGTCAGCTCTCCAGGCAGCTGCTGTGAGCTGATGGAGCTTGGGTGGAACCCACTGAGACACCGCACTCCAAAGCACCTACCGCCCAGTGTGGCTAGTGTGGGAATGCCAGTGCATGCCATCCTGCCTTGGGCTTCTCCAAATGAGTGACTGCTTGGCACCAAAGGCAGCACGTCACCCACTGGAGGGCTGAGAGGCAAAGCCACAAGCGATGACAGGCCCTAAAGGAAATAGCGTCACCATAAGCCAGACTGGAACCTTACCAAGGGTGCAGTCTGGAAAAAAAACCCAGATGCTGTGTCAGCTCAGCCACACCCAGCCACAGGAGAGCTGGAAAGGGAAAGATTACCTAGAGAGGTGGGGCAGCTTGGCGCTCTGCAGGGGAGAGAACCAACATCAGGCTTTGCGTTGACCTCAGTAAGAGCTTGTCCAACAAACAGGCCTTGAGTAAGGTGCACCCAGGTTGGAATGTGGGTCCATGACTCCTGATTGTGTGGCCTTGGCCAAAGAGTCTTGGCTCTCTGAGTCTCAATTTCCTCAAAAGTGACAAAAACAAACTTCAGAGAGTCACTGTGAGGATTTAATGAGACAATATGTGCACACACACACACACATGCCCCTAGGACAGTGCCTGACACATAGTAGGTGCTCAATAAATGTTAGTTCTTTTGTCACACCCTGCATCCTACTCATTCATTTGTGAAACCACTCGGAGCAGAGATCCCTGACAGAAAGACCTTCATTTATAGGATAAATGTACTAAGTTCAAGTCTGAATCCTACCCATCCATTTAGAAGCAAGAATAGAAATAGTAATTCCACAGGCCGCCCAGATGTGTGCATCCTTCCTTCCCAATGCATCACTGCTGGTTTTCCCCAGCATTCGCCAGTGCAGTGGAGACCAGAGTTTCAGAGCCTTCCACACTGTCCACTGAACAGCCCCACCCTTGCGCTCAGGCTTTCCTTTCCTATAGACCACCCTGTGAGAGTCTTGGTGAGCCCTGGTCTTCTTTCTGCGCATGGTGTGCCTCCTGTTACCCTCTTCATTCTCACCTCCCTCATCCCCCAATCCTCCCCTCCAGGTCCAGGCTCTTTTCACCTGCTAGGAAGCTGACCTCCTGTTGTCCACCACAGCTCCTCCCCCTTGGTGGAGCCCAAGCTCTCACTCTCCAGGGAATTCTCCATATTGACATTGCCCATCAGGGAGGTCTTGAAATTACATCTCATTTATGTTTCCAAGTGTACGCAGAGCCCATGACTGCCTTCCTTCCTTTCAATCTTTCCAAAATTAAAAAAAAAAAAATTATATATAAGCAGCACAAATCACCTAGCAAACCATGTTAGCAGGAATCTGCGATTCCTTTTTACTTAGACACTGCTGGTGTATAAGTGGATCCTTAGAAAAGGAGAAAGCTAGGGAGTGTCAGGAGGAAGAAGTTGCCCAATTCTCTGCACATGAGAACATCTAGAAAAAAGTAGAGTGGTAGAGTCCTTCTCCCCACACCTCTCCTCCAGCCTGTGAGCTTTGTCTCACTAAAGAAAAGGAGTGAGGGGTGAATAGGAAAGCTACCTTGGGAAGCCAGGGAAGGCAGGCCCCTCTGTCTCCACCCCAGGCACCTCACTTGAAGCCCTGAGGGAAATGAAGCTCTCTGTTTAAAGAAGCAGCATTTCCTCCACCTGCACCTCAGCTATCAGTGAGGGAAGAGAAGCAGCACAAAGAGTTGCAAATTCCCCTCGAGGTCAGGCAACCTCTAGCTTACACCGGGGCAGCTTCCTCAGCTCACTGCCATCCCCCTACAGCAAACCAGAAAATTGAGTGTCTCTCTTTGAGGCTGCCATGGTCCCTGCATGTGAATACACCCAATAGGAAGCCTATCCATTAATGTGAGATTGTGTCCTGTGACCTGGACATAAAATGGGAATGGTGGCATCATTCCAAAATGGCAGATTTGGCACGAGCCTTGGGCCTTGGTTCTGCCACCATTGTTATAATAGACAGAGGTGACATAGGACTGGGTCTCACCTCTTGGTGGATCAAAGGGTTTATTCTTCACTGCTGTTGGCCAAGGGCACATGGGAGTGTAATGGGCTAAATGGTGGCCCCCAATAAGATGTGTCCATGTCCTAAATCCCAGAACCTGCAAGGGTGACCTTATTTAGAAAAAGGGCTTTGCAGATATAATTAAGGATCTCGAGATAAGATCATCCTGGATTATCCAGGTGGGCCCTAAATCCAGTGATAAGTGTCCTTATAAGGGTCACAAAAAGAAGAGACTCATGGAGAAGAGGAGAGGCCATGTGAAAACAGAGGCAGAGATTGGAATGGTGCAGCCACAAGCCAAGAAATGCCTGGGGCCACCAGCAGCTGGAAGAGGCAAGGAAGGATCCTACCCTGGAGCCTTTGGAAGGAGCATGGCCCTGACAACACCTTGATTTTGGACCTCTGTCCTCTAGTACCACGAGACAATAAATTTCTTTACATTAAGTCCCTATGTTTGTGGTAGTTTGCTACAGTAATCCCAGGAAGTTAGCACAGGAGTAGGACAGATTTGTCCATCAGAGATTTGCCCATCAAGAGTCCTCTTTTTGCCTCCACAAACACCCCTTTCTTCTACCTCCTCTGCTCTGTACAGCTACACAGGTCCCCGAGTCTCCAATAGAACTGGAAGAATTGTGAGATACTTTGAGGTATGGTATGTTATTCAGTTCACTGCGTATGGAATTAAAGCATGAAGCAGTCCTTTTCAGGAGAGATATGCAAGCCCTCAGCATAGGGCGTAGCTCAGCATCAGTACCCAACCAATGAATATCCTCCTTCTCCTCCCCTCCAACACTTCTCCCCATTGGATGGCAAGCTCTTGTCCTGTCTGGGCCTAGTGCTTCAGTGACAGCATCAACAGGGCTGCTGAGAAAGCCTGGGAGTGTGTGCTGCACCAGGTGGCTGGCCAAGGGGGACATGGGAGCTGAATTCCACCACGCCCCATTCACCAAACCAAGAGTAGACATTTTTTTTAAGAGACAGGGTCTTACTATGTTGCCCAGGCTGGTCTCAAACTTTTGGGATCAAGCAATCCTCCTTGGCCTCCCAAGTCGCTGGGATTATAGGGGTGAGCCAACATGTCAGGCAGCCAAAGACTACACTTGACAGCCCAAAGTTAAGTGGGTTTTTTGTCAGTTTGCCCAGTTGAAGATGTCGTCTTTCAAAATCAAGGAAAGATACTATCGGAATGATGAAAAAAAATTTGAAATAGACTGTAGTAATGATTGCACAACACGATGCGTGTCATTAGTGTCATTGAATTGTACACTTAAAATTGTTAAAATGATGAATTTGGTGTTATATTTCTCACCACAATTATAAAAAGGTTAATACTGCAATATACCAAACTCATTGACTTATACACGTTAAGTGGGCAAATTATATGGTATGTGAATTATATCTCAATAAAGCCATTTTAAAGAATGCAAACAAATTTTTAAAACACATTTTTTTTGAGAGAGAATTTTGCTCTAGTCCCCCAGGCTGGAGTGCAATGGCGTGATCTCGGCTCACTGCAACCTCCACCTCCCGGGTTCAAGCGATTCTCCTGCCTCATCCTCCCAAGTAGCTGAGATTACAGGTGCCCGCCACCACACCCAGCTAATTTTTGAACTTTTAGTAGAGACGGGGTTTCGTCATATTGGTCAGGCTGGTCTCAAAATCCTGACCTCAGGTGATCCACCCACCTCTGCCTCCCAAAGTGCAGGCATGAGCCACCACGTCCAGCCTTAAAAAACACATTTTACAAAAAGAAAAAACTTAAGACTCCTATTAAACCCATTCCGTGAAAAATTTTTTTTTCAGAAGCTGTGTGTGCTAGCAGAGGCTCTCAACACCAGGCTTGCTCTGTCTTTCACTGGCCATTGACTGGTGGAGTCCAGCTTTTGGTGGCTGTTCGATGCAGGAGATGATGTTCAGCCACACATAGAAACCTCCGTGTTGGAATGCTGATTCTCTGGTCACTCAGCTCATCAGTCAGGCTGCCCACCTCTCAGACTCTAACCGTTAAAACTCCCATTTTCTCTCTTTTCTGTGTCCTAAAACTCGATGTGCAGGCTTTCTCTTTGTCTTTCCCATCTTAATTGGCACATCCTGCATTTTCCAAACCAACTCTTCTATTTCTGGTTTCCCATTAAGGCTTTAGCTTTGCACTGCATCATGCCTTTGATGTTTTGAGAGCTGTGAGCAGGTTCATAGGATGTTTTGAAGGAAGGAATCATTAAATAGCAACAATTTTCAGTACACTCTCTATTTGTACATAAAAAGTACAGGTAGACACAAAGAAACAGAAACAACTTGTCAATTCACCCCCTCACACTACATTGGGAAAGATAATCTAGAATTCCTGACACACTGCATTTGCCGTAAACGCAATATGAAAGCAGATTGGAAATACTTGCCTAGCGATGACAGAGGAAGTAGGTCGGAAAAACGTCTTATGGATAAATGGGTATCTATTTTTTGTGGGGAGGTGCCATGTCCAGATAAGGGTGTGTATTGTGATTAAATTTAATACTGGTGTAAACACTCTGCAACCTGCCATTTTCTCAGTTGGATTTATGATTTGTCCATATAAGACAATCAGCAAAGAGTGGCAGAGAGGCGTAGGAGTCTAGAGGGAAGTGATTAGGGCTAAGAAAAGAGGGAAAATTAACAACAGTCTCAAAAAGGTAACATCCTACCACACATAACAGGTAATGTTTGGGAAGAAGATGTTAAGAGATTGAGAAAAAGAAGAGATACTGTAAGAGCAGTTGTAAGCATGTTTTATCTGATTCTAATTTTTAGAAAGTTAGCAATTTGCATACTGCACCTGTATTAATCAGACACTTGACTGAGCAGAGGCTTCTCATTCCTTTACTCTATCAAATTGTCTAGAATGACACTGGGGGAATTGACTCTGATGTTCAAATAAGTAGCGGGGAGGAAAGTCTAAAGTCACCACTCAATAAAATAATTTGGCACTTTTATTAGAAAATCGTTATATTTACCAAAGGAAAACCTCATTTTGACTGGAAACACAGAAAAACCAAGCAAGTAATTTCAAAGCCTGCATGGGGAAGATGAAAGTACATATCTGTCCCCAAAGAAAGCCAAGCTGAATAGGTAAATCCAGCTCCCAATTATTCCATTCTAGGTGGATTATACAACAGTTTTGCTTCGATTTGTGTTTCTGAGTGACTGTTGTTTGGCACTGCTAGTTGGCTATGCAAAGGCCATTTTGAACTACTGAATATTCACTTTCCAGTGTCCTCTGTATCTAGGCGTGTCCATGTGACATGGTTTTGACAAAGGAGACATCAGGGTTTGCTGAGGGTGGGAGCTGGGGAAAGGAAGGCTTTCCTTTCCGATAAAAGAGACAGGTGGGACATAGCGTGAGCTATACTATCTCTTCCCCCTTGTTTCTGTACTGCACATGGTCGTGATGCTTTGAGCTACATAGCCATTTTGTAACTATGAGATGGCAAAGATAAGGGACAAAAAGCCAATACTAAGGATGTCACAGCGATCAGATAGAAAACATCTGGCTCCCTGATGATTCAACTGAGCAGCTGAACCAATACCAGCCTCTACCTACCTCCCAATTTCTTAATCAGAAAAGCTAGTGCCTATTGATTTAAGGTACCATTGGCTGGGATTTCTCTTACTTGCAGCCCAAAGAATTCCTAAATGACACACCATGTAGCAGGAGTCCCAAGGGGCCTAAAGCAAGAGCTAGAATTGTGGTGTCTGAGTAATGAATGTCACAAGCAGCCTGCAGGCATCTGTTTGCACTTACAGAAGGTTGATGACAGGGGCCTAGGGGCAAGACACAGATGGAGGGGACAGCATGGGGTCTGTTTCCTGATCAGAACCCATGGACTAGGCTTTGTCTGTGGAGAGAGTGCCAGCAGGCAGGAGTAGTTGAAAATCCAAGGGGTTTTGTGTGAATGGGGGCACAAGCAAAACTGCTTTAGACTTCTGTCATGAAATACAGCACACAACTGCGCCCTGTGTCTGTGAGGAGCTCAGTGTGGCTCAGGTCCAGTTGAGATAGGAGAAACTGCAGTACCATTTGGTCACCAGAAGGGCTTCCATAGTTAGCACCCTGGGCAGAGAATGGCCACTGATTGGGTATAGGACATGCTATCCCCAAATGTGGCACCTTGGCATTTAAGAAAACAGCAGAAGCAGGAAAGGAATTTTCACCTTTCCCACTGCCCTTCTTCCCTGAGGCAGGTCATGAAACCTGGGAAGGATTTTCTGACCTTCTCCTGAAGCAGATCATAACAGCCTCATATGAAAGAAGCTCTCCCTATACTCAGAGGAAAATAACATTTTTTTCTTTTCTTTCTTTTTTTTTTTTTGTTTTGAGACAGAGTTTTGCTCTTGTTGCCCAGGCTGGAGTGCAATGGCGTGATCTCAGCTCACCACAACCTCCGCCTCCCAGGTTCAAGCGATCTTCCTGCCTCAGCCTCCCAAGTAGTTGGGATTACAGGCATGTGCCACCACGCCTGGCTAATTTTTGTATTTTTAGTAGAGACAGGGTTTCTCTATGTTGGTCAGGCTAGTCTCGAACTCCTGACCTCAGGTGATCTGCCTGCCTCAGCCTCCCAAAGTGCTGGGATTACAGGCCTGAGCCACTGCACCTGGCCCAAGAACATTCTTATCTATGAGGACACAGGGACACAGAGAAGAATCTAAGCAAACAGGCCTTGTTAAATCCCCCCCAGTTTATTACCATTAAATCATACCCCTTTGTCCAATTACTTTCTCCATCACTGTCAACTCTTCATCACATCTAGCATAAAAATACACAAGCTGAACTGTTTCTTTGGAGCTTCTTTTTCTTATGAAGGCTCCCATGTTACATAAAACTTATGGCAAATAAATCTATATGCTGTTCTCTGGGGCCTCAGTCATGAACCTAAGATAGGAAGGAACGTGTTTCTTCTCCCTTATACCACAGTGAGGCACTGCCTTGGGCCCTCAAAAGCACTGGACATCAGTAAGAGGGCAGACCTTAAAGATGTGGGTGAGAGATGGCTGCCCAGCAAACAGCAGGAGTGGAATTGCTGAGTCTTGTGGTATATGTATGTTCATATACCACAATGAAGTAGATACCACCATATAGTTTTTGTAGTAGATCCCATCACATAGTTTTTCAAGGTGTTGTTTTTCAATTCATACTGTATAACACCACAGCACATAGTCAGGATATGAGAATTTCAGCTGGACCTCACATCTTCACCAACACTGAGTGTTGTTGATCTTTTTAATTTTAGCCATTGTGGTGGATATGTAGTGTTGTTGTTACATTATGGCTTAAATTTTCATTTCCCTGAAGACTAATGAGATTTAACACCTTTCCACATGCATATTAGCCACTTGGATGTCTTCTTTTAGAGGTGCTCAACAAGGATTTTTGCACATTTATCTATTGAGTCATCTTTTTCTTACTGATTAATAGGATATCTTTATCTACTCTAGATAGGAGACTTTCCTCAGAGAGATGTATTGCCAATATCTTTTTCCTACTGTCAGGCTTGACTTTCAGTCTCTATTAAGAGACATTTTTGTGAATAGACATTCTTATTTTTTATGTAGTAAAACTTATTAATCACCTATTTTATAGTTATTATCCTTTTGTGTGTGCCCTGCTTAATAAACAATTTTTCACTTTAATGTTATGAAAGAGCCCTATTATTAAACTAGAGTTTGAATTGTTTCAGCTTTCATATTTATATTTGTAATTTTCCTGGAACTAATTTTTTAAGATATGATGTAAGATAGGAATCAATATTTTTTTCATACGTATATTTCACTGATTCAGACTATTAGGAAAAAGGTCATTTTTTAAAAAATGCACTGCTATGTTAACTTTGGCATAAATCAAATAACTTTATATGAATGGGTCTATTTTTAATAATTTCTTCTGATACTTTGCTTCATATTTATATTTTACATGAATACTATGTTCTCTTAATTACTGTAGCATTATAATCTCTCTTAATATTATAAGCCATCTAATTTTATTTTCCTATTCAAGGAGAATGTAGTTATTATTCTTACATTTTCATACACATTTTATAATCAGCCTGTCACTTTTCCCAAAAGGAAAAAAAGCAAAAAACAAACAAGGTATCCTAAATTCTTAATACTTAGATCAGTTGGCTTTATTATAATATTGAATCTCTAATCCATGAACATAGTCTATTCCTTCTTTATTTGACCTTCCGTAATTTCTTTCATAATGCTTTCCTGCAGGTTTTTCATTAGATTTATTCTAGGCATTTGCTATTTGGGGATCCTATTATAAATGGTATGATTTTATTTTCTTTTCAATTGTTGTTAATATATAGGAATACAATTTATTTTTGTATATCAACATTGTATTCAGTGACTTTGCTGAATTTACTTAACGATTCTAACAGTTTTGCTATAAATTATTTTGTCTCTTTCTAAGCACACATTCATGCCATTTACAGATACTGATAGTATTGTACCTTCCTTTTGAGACTTCAGAGTTTTTTTTTTCTTGCTGTACTTTAGGACAACGTTGAAGAAACGTTATCCAGGAATCTTGACTAATTTCTAATCTCAAGGGATGGCTTCTGTATTTTACCTTTAAGCATGGTGATCGCAGTAGATCTTTTTAAACAGATGCTTTTTGTCAGATTAAGGAAATGTTATTTTCATTTTGATAAGTAAAGATTTTATCAGAAATGTATATTGAATTTTATCAAATGCTTTTTCTACATCTTTTGATATAGACACATGGTTTTTCTCCTTCATTCTATTAATGTGATAAATTACAATTGCTGTCTTTTGATTATTAAGCCAATCCTGTATCTCTGGAATTAACTCAGATTGGTTGTAATTTGTACCTTTTATAAATCACAGATTTGATTTGCTAATATTTTGAAAAATAATTAAAATTTACATTCATGGAAGAGATCAGCCTGTAATTTCTGTCTTGTGATTTCCTTGCATTATTTTGAACTATATTTGGCTTTACACATTTTAAAATGTCTTTTGTTTTCCTATTTCTGAAAACTGTATAAAATCAGTTATTTATTTATTAAAGTTTGAAAAAAATTATTGGTGAAACCATCTGGGTCTGGAGTTATCTTTAGGGAAAGGTTTTTAATAATGAATTCAATTTTAATAGCTATTGAGCTATTCAAAATTCCTGTTTCTCTCTGTATTAATTTTGATAAGATCTATTTTTATAAATTATGAAATGTATTGGCATGAAGTTATTGAAAATATCTTCTCACTTTTTTAATGTAAGGAGATTCTGGAATAATGTCCCTTTTTTCATCCCTAATGTGATAATTTATGTGTGGTCCCCACGCTACACACACAAATATTTAATACATAGTCTTACTAGGGGGTAATACATTTTATTAGTCCTTTCAAAAAAACAACTTTTAATTTTGTTGATTTTCTCTGTTATACATTTGTCATCTATTTCATTAAATTCCTATTTCTACTATATTAGGGTTTAATTGTGTTTTATTTTCCCAAATTCTTCGTATGAATATTCACATCATTATTTTCAGCCTTTTTTCTTTTCTAACATTTGAGGCTGTGCCCTTCCTTTAAGCACATATTTTAATAGGCCATATTTTATCATCATTTCATTCATTTTTGTGATTAATTTCTAGTTCAATTTCACTGTAGTCAAAGACTATGATTTTAATAGCTTACAGTTTGTTGATACTACTTTATGGTCCAGCACATAATCAATTTGGAAAACGATTCATGTGTACTTAAAAAGAAGGCATGTTCTGTACTTGTTTGGTGAGTCTCCTATGTATTATAATAATTCAACTTGCTAGGCCTGTTGTTCAGGCATTCTATAGCCCTCCTGACTTTTTGACTGCTTGTTTATCATTTACTTATACTGTTAAAACCTCCCACTATGATTCTGGAATTTTAAACACATCATTTTATCATCTTCTGACTTCCATCGGTTCTTTTGAGAAGTTCGGTGTTAGTGTTGCTCCTTTGAAAGTAATGTCCTTTTTAAAATCTGATTACTCTTAAGATTTTTTTCTGTCTTTCATTTTTAGCAGTCATATAGAAGACCATGAGATATCTAGATGCATTTGTCTTATGTTTACCTTATCAGTGTTTATTAAGCTTCTAGAATCTGTGTCTGGATATTGTTTTTCTGTTCAGGGAAACTTTGGGTATTATCGCTTCAAACTTTGCTTCTGTTTCATTCTCCTTCTCTTCTTTGCTTCTGGGATTCTAATGACAGTCAGGGACTCCAATTCCACATATGTTAGGCCTTCCCTGGACACCTCACAGCCTAGAAAAGGCTCAGAGGCCCCAGCTGCCCCAAGGGAACACACCTGTTGGCATGCTCACAGCCCACCTTAGCATGTGCCTCCTTGGGAAGTTCTTTCACAAGGTTTCTGTCATGGGCTTCACCCAGGTCAACCCTTTATGTTTCTCCCTAAACACACTCTGGGATGCCTCTTTGTGCTAAAGACAGTTCTGTTCTTTCTTGTGTGAGCCCCACAATGCAACTTGCCTTTAAACTTGGGCCCAGAAAGAAGACTCCCTGAGCAACTGGGGAGGACCCCGGGTCTAGGCTTTGTGTTTGTCAGCTTCAGGCTATCTAAGTGGCATACCAGGAAAAAAAAAAAAAAAGTAGAATTAGTAAGGAGAGCAGAATAATGCAAATTTGGAGTTTAATAACTGTATGTTTTTCTCCATGGGAGGATAGGGCACCATAATCCCTTTTGATCCTGAGTAGAGTCTCATCTTGGTCTTTAAATGATGCCAAAAATAATTTTATTTTAAAAAAATTCTTGCCTTAACCATCTTCTTCTCCAAATAACAGAAAAAGCAAGCAAATTTTACATACTGTGTTTATTCTTCCTTGTGTCCTCCTTGTAATAATCCTATGATACAGATTCATTATCTCTATTCAGAATGGGAAAAACAGGCTCAAGAAACAGAGGCAGTAAGTGGAATAGGCAGGGTTTGAACTCAGGATTGCCTGTCTCTTTTCAAGTCTGGGCACTTTCAGTGCTACAAAAATCCCACCTCCCTTAGTTCTCTCCCTTTCCTCTCTACGCTCTATTTTTTCTTCCATCAACACATTCAGTAGATCTAATAAAAATCAGGTGACACAGGACAAGCATCACACTGCTGCAAGCTTCCCCACGTAGATCTGACTTGGATTTTAAAAAGATGTCCGTGGAGGGGCACACAAAGAGCTCTAGCTTGTCTCTCTCGTTATCAGGTTTTGATGCTTTTGCTTGAATTTGTGACAGCTGTGTTGCTGCAGCTTCTCCTCCGATTCTCTCACCCTTTCCCTTCTCAGTGATTCAATACAATTTCTGTGTTTGTGATCTTCAGGGGAGCTGTTCTTTTTTTCATGCAACAATGAACCTTCAGGGAAGGCAAGAGCTAAGACACTTGTTTAATAAAAATGGAGACACTTTTTAACAAAGCAAGCAAGAGGAGAGAGGAGTTAGGGTCACAGATGGCCTAAAGAAAGCGAGCTCTGGCCCGGGAGTTGGTTTTTTTGTGTGCTCAGAAGCCGCTGGAAGTGTGTGCTCACGTGCTTGTGTGCATTTTGCTGGCTGCAGTCATGAACATAACCAAAGAAGGGGCTGGGTGGATTTGACAAGGGTGGGCAGAGGAGGAGGGGTCCTCAGGTGGAAGGCAGAGATGGGGGCTGTGTCTGTGGCAGAGCTTGTAGCTGTTTGGGAGCATGCTGATTGACACATGATTCCAGGCAGGCCATCACCCATGGGCGCATCATCCTGCCATTTAGCCTTAAGAGACACTCTGCGCTTATTCGTGTGGAAGGCCTGGCTCGGGCAGGCCGCCACAGCCATCAGCCGTCATCATTCCAGAGGCCTGTCACACGGCCCAACACCCACCACAATTCCCAGGAACTTGAGAAACACGAAGTTGCTTTTCAGCATCTCAGGATCTGTGGAGGAGCCCAGCACCTCTTGGCTCCTTCCTGGTGCTCCTTCTGCCCCAGCTGCCCACCGGAGCCCCTGTGCCCCTGACAAAACAGAAAGCCCTCGCCGGTCCCCAGCAGCCAGAGACTGGGATTCTGTTTTACACTGCAGTTCACTCCTAAGTCAGGTGTGAGGGTTGGGGCTGAGGTGAGGCTGGTAATCAGCTAGGCAGCCCTGATTGCATCTTAATAACAAATGCAAAGCACCCAGAGCAGCAATTTGCAGTAATGGGAAAAATCAGCAGGTCCCTGGGATTTGACAGGAAGTAAACACTCTCCAGGCTCAAATTTGGGGGAGAAAAAAATATTTATAAGAGTACCCTGGCACTGCTTAGAGCTGTGGGGGCAAGAAAGTGGAAGAAGAGATTATAGCTAGACTGAGGGAAGGGAGGCTGAGGCCAGAGCCTCAGGGTAACTTCACCCTCCCTCCTCCTCCTCTTTCTCCTCCTCCTCTTCCTCCTCCCCCTCCCCAGTCCCATCCCTCCCCTCTCTGCCTCCCTGTGTGAGAAAGAATATCACATTCTCTTCCTGTTCCTTCTACCAAATACCCACCGGGAACAAATAGAAAAGACCCCCACCAATAAAAACTGGCCAAACAAGCATACTCAAGTCAAAGCAGCCCTGGTTGAGGTGTCCTCAGGTAAAGGCTCATTTTTGCCCACCAGCCTTTTTTTTTACTGTGCACACACTGAGCCAAAGCGGGGCTGGAACCTCATCCATAAAATATCCCTGTCCTGCAAGGAGATTTTTCTCTTATCACCTCCTTGGAATGGAACGGAATAGTTATCCCCATTAGAAGGTGAAATGTTTTTCACAGTGTCAATTTTTCTTCCTCTTTGAGAATGTTCCCCCCACTGAACACATATTTTTCTTACATGTAATTTGATTTGGATGGTTTCTTGACCTGCATCCAAATCGAGCCGTGGGTAATTATTACTGTCACTATTGTTATTAATACTGATATTTATCATAATCTCACAAATGGCAGGGACAGCCCTTAATCTTGCTATTTAATTTGGTTGAAAGGAAAATGTGAGGCCCTGGCCTCCCTCCCAGTTTATTCTCTTTTACCAAATTCCTACTATGTGAATAATTAGCCCAGTTTCCAGTGATCTGGAGTCAGTATATCTCTGAATTGCATTCAGAGGATAAAGTAGGGTGAAAGTGACAAGAAGTCAGATTTATCTCATGAAAATGAGAAACTATCTAATTGTTAGACGTCTCATGAGGTAGTAAGCTCCCCATCACCAGAAATATTCAGCTA
The DNA here is from genome assembly GCF_000001405.40 of Homo sapiens. Lineage (NCBI taxonomy): Eukaryota > Metazoa > Chordata > Mammalia > Primates > Hominidae > Homo > Homo sapiens. Next base: position 14,258,064 of record NC_000006.12, on the reverse strand, counting down.
GAAGCCGAAAGGTCGTCTGTTAGGTGTCAGGTATGCTGTTTTAGAAAGGGATGAATGAGGACTGTGGTTCTCACATTTTAGTTCTATCAGAATCACCTGGGCGGCTTGTTCTCTGATTTCTGAGTCCCACTCAGGGTTGCTGATTCAGTGAGTCTGAGGCAGGGCCCAAGAGCTTGCATTTCTTTCTTTCTTTCTTTCTTTTTTTTTTTTTTGAGACGGAGTCTTGCCCTGTTGCCCAGGCTGGAGTGCAGTGGTGCAATCTCGGTTCACTGCAACCTCTGCCTCCCGGGTTCAAGAAATTCTACTGTCTCAGCCTCCCAAGTAGCTGGGATTACAGGCGCCTGCCACCACACCCAACTAGTTTTTTGTATTTTTAGTAGAGACAGGGTTTCACCATGTTGGCCAGGCTGGTCTCAAACTCCTGGCCTCGTGATCCACCCGCCTCAGCCTCCCAGAGTGCTGGGATTACAGGCGTGAGCTTGCATTTCTAACAAGTTCTCTGTGCCTGCTGGCTGGAGGGCATGGGTACTTCAAGAGCCACTGAACTAAGGGGAAGGTCAGTCTAGGTCATTTAAAGATTTCCTCCTACTCTAAACTTTTATGATGCCATGTGTGACACTATGATTTTATATGTGATTTTATATATGTGTGTACACACACACACGCACCCCCATATTGATTTTCATCTGCAGTTCCTGAATCATAACACCCATAACCCTTATTGCAGTCTTTTGTTATAATGTTGGGGTGCTTTAGACCTCAGAGATGGGCCTCTGGAAATATAATCTCTCTCTCTGACCTTTTCCTGTCCTCCTTTTACCTGCCCAAGGCAGGACTCTAATCTGATTGTGGATCAAAAAGACCCTCATTCCAGAGAGGGTCTTGCCCCATATCCTAGAGGAAAGAATGCTATGCAGAGAGACCAAGAAAAGTCTGAACAGACAGGCCTTGCTGGGTTTAGATCATGGGCTTTTTATCCAGGCACATTTCTACACGGTTGTCAACCATGCCTATGTAACGTCAATCATGCCTATCGGAAGCCTCCAGAAAAACCCAAAAGGACAAGGTTCAGAGAGCTTCTAGAGAGCTGAACATGTGGAGGTTCCTGGAGGGTGGCACTCCCAGGGATGACACCTGGAAGCTCCACGCCCCTTCCCGCACACCTCTCCCTGTGCTGCTCTTCATTCATATCCTTTATAATAAAGTGGTAAACACAGGTGTTTCCCTGAGTCCTGTGAGCTGCTCCAGCAAGTTAATCAAATCCTAAGAGGGGGCTATGAGAACGCCAACTTGAAGACAGTAGATCAGAAGTTCCAGAGGCCTGCTCATGTCACAGATGTGTGAAGTGGGGGCAGTCTTGGGGACTGAGTGAGCCCTCAACCTGTGGAATCTGACACTATTTCCAGGTAGGGAGTGTTGGAATTGAATTAGAAGACACCCAGCTGGTGTCTGCTGTCAGTGTGGGGGGAAAACCCACACATTTGGCTACAGAAGCCTTCTTCTGTGTTGATTGTTGGGGTGTGAGAGCAGAGGCAAAAGGTCTGAGACAGGTTTTCCCCAAATACCATCAAGTGAGAATTATTTAAGAAGTGACCGAGAGTAATTGGCTCAGGTGAAAGGGATAAGATGTGGCAGTTCTCTCACTAACTTCATATAGGCATTTACCAGAAGGACAACTTTCGTCTTCTTCTCTGAGCACTGTCCTATCTCCGTAGATCTATCCCAAATATGCTTCTAAGCCTGCTTTTCCTTCCCGTTGTCTCATTTAGCAGGAGACCTTCCACTGTCTCATTCAGTTCGGGTGGCAAACCACACTTACTTGGACAAGTAAGCCCTTAGTTTTTAGTCTCCCTGTAAAAACTGTACATGTTCTGGCTCTGATGCCTTAAAACAAAAATAAAACAACGCAGAAGTCCTTTTCCCTGACACATGGTGAACATAACTCAGTAACACCACCTTATCTGGTGATCTCTGTTACTCAGTTTCATTCGGGAGCTGTGAAGTCACCTGGAACAATGTTTGGTGTACACTGTATAGGAATCCCATGGGCAGCTGTAGCGGGGAATATGGAAGAGAAGCAGTCCCAGTCATGCCTTGTAAGACACGACCTTACCTGTGGGCTTCAGGGCTGCAGAGCAGCTTCCATGCACACTGTCACACATGATGCCCAAAACACCATGATACACGAAACACGTATCATTAACTGCATCTTATTGATGAGAAAGGTAACACCTGGAGAGCTTCTACATTGCCAAAAGCTCACAACAAACACTGTAGAAGAAAAATTCAGGTTTTCTGACTCTTAGAGCAATCTTTTCATTTACCTCACCAAGCTGCTCTTGGAAACAAAGCAGTGGGGAAAGAGGCGTGATGGGGATGATAGCGCCCAAATGGGAATTTTTGCAGCACTAGGTAGGGACAGAGAGTCTAGACAACCACCAGCTCCCACCTCCTCCCCAGTCTATCTGGGAAACTTCCCTCCCTCATCTGCCCATCCATCTATTATAGATAGCCATCCATCCATCTCATTTTAAAGATGAAGAAACGGGCCCAGAGAGGTCAAATATCTTGCCCAGGATCACACAGCTGGTTAATAGCAGAGTCAGGACTAAAACTAACCTGAGCTCAATCAATTTTTTTTTTTTTTTTTTTGAGATGGAGTCTTTCTCTGTCGCCCAGGCTGGAGTGTAGCGGCGCAATATCAGCTCACTGCAACCTCCGCCTCCCGGGTTGAAGTGATTCTCCTGCCTCAGCTTCCTGAGCAGGTGGGATTACAGGCGGCCACCACTATGCCCAGCTAATTTTTGTATTTTTAGTAGAGACGGGGTTTCATCATGTTGGCCAGACTAGTCTTGAACTCCTGACCTCAGGTAACCCACAGCCTCGGCCTCCCAAAGTGCTGGGATTGCAGGCATGAGCCACTGCACCCGGCCAAATTCAAGTCTTCTGATGCTCAGTATTGACTATATACTGGGCCAATTCAAGAGAATGGCAGTATGATCTTTGGGTAAATTTGCTAATGTACTTTTTCCTTGTGTTTTCTGTTACCCGTGTCCCTCCCCTTTATTCTAGAAGTAGCTCGATATGTCATGCTTATCGCCTGAGTGAAGGAGGAAGATGCAAGAACAAAGTCACCCGAGAGGGTACGTGGGGTGTTAAATTTAAGTTTAGCTTAAAGATGCCTCCTTACATATTTTAAGTTCAGCCTAAAGGTTTCTTCATGCACAGTGAACTGTAACCTACCCGAATGTGTAAACAGACTGTAACCTACTCTCATGCCAATCGCTGAGTTTCTCGGCCAATCACAGGTGGCCAAATGCTCAAACCCTTTTCAAATAAGGCGCACACCGAGGTGTAACCAATCCAGCTGTTTATGTATCTCACTTCCATTTTCTGTACATCACTTTGCTTTCGCTTTCTACAAGTCTTTTTCAACCAGGCCTAGAGCCTCTCTGAACCTATTGTGGTTTGGGGGCTGCCCAATTCACAAATCATTCGTTGCTCAATTGAAGTTTGTTAAACTTAATTTGTCTGCCAGGCACATATTTTTGCAGGGGACAGGGAAATGTCCATATAGACAGTTTGGGTCACCTCAAATCAGCATGTCTGCAGCACCAGTATGGCGGTCCCATCCCATAGAATTCTGAGAAATAAATTCTGCTTCATCCAGTGGGAGGAATCTGCTTGCAGTCCACCCTTCTAGAACCAAAGCCCAGCACTGGGGCCTTGGACGACCCTATAGGTGCGAGGTCTGGGCCCTTCAAGTATCTGATAGACCCCGGCAGTAAAGAGTCAGACAGGGCCGGGCGCGGCAGCTCACACCTATAATCCCAGCACTTTGGGAAGCCGAGGCGGGCAGATTGCCTGAGCTCAGGAGTTTAAGACCAGCCTGGGCAACATGGTGAAACCCTGTCTCTACTAAAATACAAAAAATTAGCTGGGCGTGGCGGTGTGTGCCTGTAGTCCCAGCTACTCGGGAGACTGGGGCAGGAGAATTGCTTGAACCCAAAAGGCGGAGGTCGCAGTGAGCCGAGATTGTGCCACTGTACTCCAGCCTGGGCAACAGAGCGAGACTCTCTCCAAGAAAAAAAAAAGAATCAGATATTTCCCCAGAAAGGAAAAATGGGCCTATGGATGCTTCAAGCACCTGAAGAGGACTTAGAAATGTTCACAGAAAATACTTCAAAGTGCAGGGTCTCCCAAGGGTTAAGGCCTGGTGCAGGAGTCCTGTTCATCCAGGCCTCGGGGCAATACTGCACCAGATCAAAGAGGGGGAAGAAAGTCAATATGATCTTGGGGACTCAAAGCATAAAATGTATATGATGATATAAATGTAAGGTTTCCCCACCCTGGGACTGGATAGATTCCCTGGGTCTGAAAGTGAGGGAGAGGAGCATGGGAAGGGAGGGAGGGAAGACTGAGATGCTCCTGGCTCTTGAGTTTTGTAGGAAAGAGAAGAAGGAATAATACCGTGAGTGCAGAGAGGATCACCCTCCTGGGCCTAGGGAAAGCCTTGAGGGGTAGTAAGGCCCACCCACCCCCTACCTGTTTTCACCACCCCCTACCTGTTTTCACCATGCCTGGCAAGGTCAGGTACAGAGGAAATGTCGTGAGGTGTGTCTGGGGGGGCAGGCTGGAGGCAGCCTCTCAGAAGCTCTCTCCCCTAGGGTGTGCTGGGCCAGTGATGTGTTTTCTGTGCTCCCAAGAGGGTGCAGGCATGGCAGAGAGAAAGAGAGAGGAGAGAGGCAGACAGAACCTAAGAAGTAGTTAGCAACAAAGGCATCCTGGCAGAGAGCTGGGTGAGGAAGAAGGACCTCTCTGCAGAGGCCAGGACAGAGCCGTGAAGACACCCAGGTTCAGATGACCCTGCTCTCCTTCTCTCCACACCCTCTATATTTCAGTACTGTCTACCTCCTGGGGTGCAGATGTGACTTTGAAGAAAGAGAGGAGGATCCTTATCTGACTAGATTTTCATCATTTGGCTAAACAGGGGCTCAAAATAGAAATTAAATAGTTACCAAAAACAAAAAAGAAATTTAAAAACCTCTACTTTTTGCACATCTCAAATTTTGATGTCGCATTATACCTACCACAAGAGGCTCAAAAAAAGTCACAACTAAAATCCTGGAGTGTGTGGATGGATAAGAGTCCTAGGGAGCCGTTTTGTCCCTGAGACACCAGCGATGGCTGGGCAGAAGAAAACGGACACTGGAATTCTTGGGTGTTTCATTTGTATCTTGGGATTCTGGGTCCTGGTCTCTTGCATCTCTTTCAGCGGCCTGTGATGTTGAAGAGGCCAAAGAGAAGGTGTTGTCACGAGCTCTCTATCCTGTCCTCTCACTCTCACCCAGCCTCGTACAAAAGGATATGAAAAGCATGTAAGAATGGGTTGCAGCATCTTTGCTGCAGGGATTTGGTCTTAAGGCTGTGGGGTCAGTGGCTTAGCTCCAGCCTGAACAAGGTATCAACAGGAAGTCAAGGTCCAGGAACTATGGGCCCCCAGCCTCTCCTCACAGGAGCCCTTCTCCCAGTCCCCAGACAGGCAGGTTGGAGGGAAGCCCTACACAGACCAGCAAGCGCAGGGGGACTCTCCTGGAGCACCTGCTGAAGTCACCTCATCGCCCAACATAAACCATGTCACCGTCTGTTGTTTTCAGCAGCCAGGACATTCTTGTTTTCTCACAAAAGAGCCTCGGTCACCTGAGGACATTTCTTGCAGCAATCCAGCAGGTTTTTGTCTTCGTGTCACCCGATTCTCCATGTTCCCTTCAGGAACGATGCCATCTTTTCCACAGTAGCAAATACACTGAAACTGAACTAGTTAGGAGGATTAAAAAAAATCCTTGTAATCTGCAAACTAATGCCTTGATCTTTTGTCCTCTTTCAGAAAGAAAGAGATCAACTAATAGCTCAACAGGGTTTAACCTGGGCTTACTGAGAAGAATCAAATTTTTTTTAAAGAAAATAAAATTGTAATATGAGCCAGTCATACATTCATATTCATCAACATATGGAAAGTGTGACTCCAAAGAAAGGTTTGGGGAAAGAACATCACAATACAAGAATAATTAAGATCAGATCCCCTATTCATTGCATATGTGTATGGTATATGTGCCTGTGTATGTGTATGTATATGTATATGTATATGTATATGTATATGTATATGTATAAGTATATGATTGATATGGTTTTGGCCTGTGTCCCCACCCAAATCTCATGTTCATTGTTGGAAATGGGCCTGGTGGGAAGTGACTGGATCATGGGGTGATTTCTTAGGGTTTAACACCATCCCCCCCGGTACTGTATAGTGAGTGAGTTCTCACGAGATCTGGTTATTTAAAACTGTGTGGCTCTTCCCTTCTCCTTTTCCTCCTGCTCCAACCATGTAAGATGTGCCTACTCCAACCATGTAAGATGTGCCTACTCCCTCTTTACCTTCTGCCATGATTGGAAGCTTCCTGAGGCCTCCCCAGAAGCAGAAGCCACTATGCTTCCTGGACAGCCTGTGGAACCATGAGCCAATTAGACCTCTTTTCTTTATGAATTACCCAGTCTTAGGTATTTCTTTATAGTAGTGCGAAAACGGACTAATACAATGGTATATGTATGTGCATATGGTATACAGAGAGGCACAGCAAGTCACATATCAAGTCACTTATAATCACTTATTAAGTTGTTATCAATGCTGCCCCCAATGCCTGGTATCACCCTAGGTACAGTGGGAGATACATAAAAAGAAATATATAAGCTCTCTTGACCCTCACAGAAATAACTAATTTGGGACTCAAGATTTCATTAGAGGCAACAATCGGAGAATAATACAAAAAATTATTATAATTGGTAAATACAATAAGAACAACTGCTGACATGTGTTAAGTGTTTACTAAGTACCAGCCCCTTGAGTATGTTATCTCATTAAATCCTTAGGAAAACAGATAAGTACTGTTATGAGAGTGATTTTATAGAACCAGAGATTGAGAGGTTTGAACTGGGCCAAGGTCATGAGTGAGTACGGCAGGACATGAAGTCAGATCTGCTGGACTTCAGGCTACTTGAGCACTCCCCAGCTCCACATGTGTGTCAATAAGAGGAACAGAGAGTAAGTGCTGGGGTCATTCAGAGAAGCCAGAATATGGAGATCCAGAACACTCAGAGAAGGCCGTAGAGGAATGGTATACTGTATTATACCACGGATGCTCTGGCTGGAGCTGGGACCAAGGAAAGAGAAGACTCTGGCAGCTGGCTCCGGTCTTGGTGATGTGGGGGAGTTGTGAGTTCTAGGCACCTGGGGTTCGACTCTCAGATCTGTCTGATGGATACCCAAAAAGGTAAGTGACTTTTGCAGTGTCACACATATCCCTGAGCTATGAAAGGTGGTAACTCAACCAGATGCTGTCCAAATCTTGTCTTGGGGACAGGGGTCAGAGAAGGACACAGTGTAGCTCAGGATGCAACTCAGGCCATCCTGGAAGCTTATCTCCTTGGTAGAAGCCTCTTTGATTGGCTGTATGTGTAAACCTTGAGTATCAGATTGGCACAACCTCAACTGGCACAGACCCTGACACCCAACACCCACTTGAGATGGATGCTAAGTTTTCAAGCTTTTCCATTAGAGGCCTTAAGCTTTCTTGAAGTAACCCAGATCTAAATGATATGTAAAATAAATAAAAGTGTTGCTTCCCCTCTGTGTGAAATCAGAACCTGAGAACCTGGTCCTGCTTAGGGAGGTGAAGTAGAGGTGAGACTGGGAGCTTAAATCGGGAGTGAGAGGTGAAAATAATCTTGTGGAAGGGTGAGAGATGTGAACCCAGGGACCAAATTCTCTTTCTTTATCACAGACCAACTCATTCATTTAGCAGAAAAAATTTCTAAGGGAATGTTTCTGGAGACTTTCGGACAGATTTCTAAATAAAATGCCCAAATCCTCTGGAGTACTATGTATCTACTAAGGAGAAGCCTCATTTTATTCTTCATCTCATCAACAGACACCATATGGACAGTCTGCAGCATTTTATCATCTATCTCCTAATTACTCCATGAAGCAGGCATTATGTTCCTCATTTACTGGTGAGGACCCCAGGCGACAAGAAGCTCCATAATTTGCCCAAAGTCAAATGGTTGAAGAATGCTGGAACCAGGATTCAAACCCACATCTGCTTAAACCCAGAGCCCCAGCTCTTGACTGCCTCTGTCATTTGCTTTGATGGCAATGTAACTGTCAAGCGATTTTGCTCCCTCTATGCATGATGAGAAGTGTCCATAATGAAAGGATTCTAGTGTACACAAGTGACTCCTCTGCATAACAGGGCACACAATTGTTCACACAACTGAGTGTTTGTTCTTAAGAATTTCTTCTTCAAATTGAAAGACCACCACCGGCAACAACCACCAAAATACATTATGAAAGATTTAATCAAGACTTAGGAAGTAGGTGTTTAGAGTCCATTGCTATTCTTTTTAACATGCATTTTACATATAGTGAAAGGTACAGACCCTACATGTTTAATTCAATGAGTTTGGGCAAACCTATACAATACACCTATGTAACTACCACCCAGTCAAGATAAAAAATATTGCCATCACCCCAGAAATTTCCCTTTTCCCTCTTTCTAGTCAATTCCTCTCTACAGGCAACCACTACTCTATCACCATGGATTAGTTTGCCTATTATAGAATTCTGTATAATTGCAGTCATACAATGTGGAGTCTCCTGCGTCTATTTTTTAGGCTCAGCATATTGTTGAAATTCATCTATGTTGTTGCAAGCATCTGTTGTTCTTTCTTTTACTTACTGAGTAGTATTCCAACATGTGAGTAGACCACAATTTGTTCAGACATTCTATTGTTGATGGGCATTTGAGTTGTATCCAATTTGGGCTATTATGAGTAAAGCTAACATCTTATTCTTATATATGTCTTTTTACAGTTATGTTTTCATTTTTCATGAGTTAACATCTAGCAGTGGAATGCCGAATCACTGGGGAAGAATATGTTTCACTTAAATGCTTAATCTCTGCAAAATAGTTTTCCAAAGTGATTTTACAATGTGAATTCCAGTTGCTCCATATTCTTGCTCACATTCATTGTTGTTAGTTTTTAATTTTAGACATTCTCATGACATGGTATCTCATTGTGGTTTCATTTTGTATTCCTCTAACAGCTAATGATGTCCCCTTTTCCTGTGTGTGATTGCCATTTCTGTATCTTCTTTGGTGAATGTCCTTTCAAATCTTTTGTACATTTTTTAAAAAGAGTTGTTCATTTTTTATTTTTTATTTTTGAGAGTTTGTTATATTTTCTGGATAAGTCTTTTATCATATGTGATTTGCAAATATTTGCTTTAAGTATGTGGTTTGGGGAACAGTGTTTTTCCAAGAACAGAACTTTTAAATTTTGATGAAGCCCAATTTCTCAGTTTTTTCTTTTATGGATTAGGCTTTGGTTGCTGTAACTAAAAATATCTTTTCCCAAACCAAAGTCACAAAGATTTCATTTTCTGGTTTTCTTCCCAAAGTTTGGTAGATTTAAGTTTTGCATTTATGCCTATGATCCATTTTAGGTTGATTTTTGTCTATGGTGTGAAGTATGGGTCAAAGTTAATTTTTTTGCACATGAATATTCAATTATTCTAGTGCCTTTTGTTGAAAAAAACCTCCTCTTTCTCCACGTAATTTGCTTGGCACTTTTGCAAAAAATCAATTGACCATATATATTTGAGTCTCTTTCTGGATTATTTTCTATTCCAATGATCTATTTGTCCATCTTGATCCCAATATAGTAATTACCACAGTTTCAAAAAAATCTTGAAGTCAGATACCATTAAGTTTTTCAACTTTGTTTCTTTTTCAAGGTTGTTTTGGCTACTGTAGCTCATTTGTATTTGTATATGAATTTTAGAACTAGTTTGTCAACTTCTATTAAAAAAAAAACTAGGATTTTGACTTGGAATGCACTGAATCTATTTGTGGGTTTTTTTTGTGGGGGCGGTGGGGGGGGCAGAGAGGGTCTTGCTCAGTCCCCAAGGCTGCACTGCAGTAGCACAATCATAGCTCACTGCAGCCTTGACTTCCTGGGCTCAAGCAATCCTCCCACTTCAGCCTCCCAAGTAGCTGGAACTACAGGCACGTGCCACCACGCTCAGCTAACTCTTCAAAACTTTTTGCAGAGACAGGATCTCACTATGTTGCCCAGGCTGATCTTGAACTCCTGGGCTCAAACAGTCCTCCTGCCTCAGCCTCCCAAAGTGCTGGGATGATAGGTGTGAGCCACCATGCCCAGCTATACTTGTGGAGAAATGATATCTTAACAATACTGAGCCTTGAATCAAGAAAGAAAGTCAATTACTATGGTATATCTCTCTTAATTTAAACTTTAAAAAAATGTCTTCTAGCATTGTTTTGTAATTTTGTTAAGTTTATTTCTAAGTAGTTTATGTGTTGATGCTATTAATTGTTATTTCACTTTTCAGATTTTTTGCTATTAGCATATAAAAATTTTTATTGTATCTATATCCTATAAATTTGATAAATTCGTTTGTTATTTCTAGCAGTTATTTTGCAGATCACTTAAAATTTTCTATGTATACAATCATGTCATTTGTAACTAAAGACAGTTTTATTTCTTTCTTTCAAATTTTTATGCTGTTTGTTTCTTGGGTTTTTTTTTTCTTTATTATAATGGCCATGCTCTCAGCACAATGTTGAATAGAAGTGATTAAAGCAGATGTTTTTGTCCTGTTTCTTATCTTATATGTAATGTCTTCAATAGTTCTTCAGTAAGTATGATGTTAGCTGTAGGTTTTTTGCTTCGCACTGTTTCAGATTTACAAGTTCTCTTCTATTCTTATTTTGCTAAGAGTTTTTATCTTTAAATGGTTGTTGAATTCTGTCAGGTGCTCTTCAGTCATCTCTTTCCCTATTCCTATCTGTGTTTAAACTGAGGTTTCAAATATTTCTGCCAGCCATCACGTGTGCCCTAACAGGTGTCGTCTTTGGGCAACTTTGCTGACTCTGGCACAGCACAAAGCTGGATCTACATGGTGTGACTGAAATCTCATAGCTTCTGTTTTAACTCAAATACTGTTCATTATGGGAATGTTCTTAATTTTGAGCCAAATTATTTTATAATTACATATTTGACTATTAGAAACAGTTACTGCAGATTTCCTTTCACCTACCACATTTCTTGAGATTAATGTCGCTAGAAGCCTTGGGACTGGGCTTGTTTATCAGAATCAATTCACAATCGGAAGGAAAACATGCAGAAGTATAGAATAGGCTCCCCACTTTCTTGGCCATGAGGCAAAAAAATTAGAAAGGAAATGAAGCTCTGAGGTGTGTCAAAGGGAGTACTGTGTGTCACAGCCAAGTACTGTGTTACCTGTGGGTCAGCCAGACCAAACCACATACAGTAATGGACAGTTTGGAGAGAAAGTTACATCACTGCCAGCCTAGATTTGGCCATGAAGAATAACTACCTCATTCCCAAAGATTGCCAAACCTTCTTATACGAGTCCCTTAGAAATTTTTAATTCAGTCTCAAAAGGAGGTATTCACAATATCATTAGACATGACAATTTAAACGTTTGAAGCCAAGCTTAATCCAGATGAAGAGTTATTTTTTTCTCTCTGTGGCTTCATACTTTATTCCTATTTCTTCTTCTCCTTATTTTCTTTACTTTCAACTTTCTATGTCAACTAAACATACCAAGTATCTAGAGAGCAACTTTTGTTGAAGACTACAACAGAATATATTATTCACACTCGGCTTGTCTTTCACAGTCAATTTGGAAACATTTGTATGACACTCCAAAATCTCAAAATTTGTAGGACAAGCATTCCTTTGAAATTATTTTCAGGGCCAAGTCACCCATGGAAACCAGCTTTGTTACTTTAGGGCCTGAGTTTTTTATCCAGTGAGAAAACCCTGCAAAACTAAAAGGATCTGGGGTCAAATAAGTTTAGGAAATGTGGCATATGATGACATCCTCCTGGAAATTCACAAGACACATTTGCATATTAAAGACTCTTGGCTACACATGTTAACCTAGTGTCGCCCTCAATTTTTTGGACCTTGGAAACTATTGGTTCAGTTTGGTTTGGTTTGGCTAACGAATACCTTTTAACCGTCATTCCACAGAACATGCTTGGACACCGCTTTGCAATGCACCTTATATGTTCACCCAGCCTTAGACATACTCAGCGCTGCATTCTGCAAAAGAGAAACAAGTACCCCTCAAGGCAATAGTCATTTTTTGATAATCAAAATCATCTTTCGAGACCCTTCAATCTGGCCTTGCCTTCATGGCTGCCTGGATGGCAGAGTACCATTTGAGAAAGTATTCCATTTAGATCTGTGACGTGGCTTGATAGTTGAAGGGAGTTAAGAGTGGAAGGAGAGTGAATGTCTTGCAGTAGAAAACATAGATGAAGTGAGAGTGGAGGTGGAGGAAGGATAAAAGAGGAAGAACGTGGAGAGACACAAGAGAACACGGGCTCTAGAGAAGATATGCTCCTTGCAGGAGTCTGTGCAGTCTCTGTGTGTGGTTCACTCCGAGGGCTGAGGTGAGACTTCATTGGCAATGGAGCCAACTACCTTTATGAAGAGAATTATGTTGCTTAACTCTCACTGGAGCCTGTTTGAATCGTTCCTACAACCACGGGCAATGAAGTCCTGTTTCTTCTTTTACCTTTCCTGCCATCTTTTCTTTTGGAGTCTTAGGGTGGTTTCAGTGGGTTTTATTATTAAGGCGACTTAATTTTCTTTAGTACAAAACTTTCTTTCGTTTTTTGTTTTGTTTTGTTTTGTTTTGTTTTGTTTTTCTGAGATGGAGTCTCACCCTGTCGCCCAGGCTGGAGTGCAATGGCAAGATCTCGGCTCACTGCAACCTCTGCCTCCTGGGTTCAAGTGATTCTCCTGACTCAGCCTCCTGAGTAGCTGGGATTACAGGCACCTGCCACCATGCCCAGCTAATTTTTTGTATCTTTAGTAGAGACGAGGTTTCACCATGTTGGCCAGGCTGGTCTCGAACTTCTGACCTCATCATCCACCCACCTTGGCCTCTCAAAGTGCTGGGACTACAGGCGTGAGCCACTGCACCCGGCCAGTACAAAACTTTTTGATTCCATTTGAGAATGCTGAGTTTTTTTCCTGTACTCAGAGTGTTTCCTCCGTAGGGGAGACCCATGAGTTGAAGGGCTAGCCTAGTGCTGTCTAAGAAAACACAGAGCAATGAGGGAATGTTTTATATCTGAACTATCCAATGGTATGCCCAGTAGCCACACTGGCCATTGAGCACTTGAAATGTGGCTCATGTGACTGAGAAACTGAATTTTCAATATAAGCAAATTTAAAATTAAATAACTACAGGAGGCTACTGGCTACTATATTGGAGAGCAGGTCTAGGAGCTAGATTCTTGAGGAGAAAGGAAGTCATCTTTATCTTATAGCCTTGGGAGGCCTATACCACAAACAGAGGACTGTAAACTCTGACAAACCAATTAATATTTCCCTTAGTTTTAGACTGACTTGTGTATGCCATAGTAAGTCTTATCTGAAAATACATAGTTTTCTGCAGCAACCCTGGTTTTGTATACACAGGGGCTGTTTCTCCTAATTCTTTGACTTTTAAAATGTCCAGGAGGCTATATATACGTGTAGTAAGTGCAGTTTAAAAAAAGGTCTGGAGTCAGACAGACCTGGGTCCTAATCCTCATTCTGCTACTTACAGTTTTGAATGACCCTCTTTTTAGAGGATCAGCCACCTTTACCCACTCTTCATCTACAAGGTTGCACCAGGAATTGCCCTGTTTCTATCATGTGGCCTTTCTCCCCTCTCTCCCAGGCATGGTTGACTCTCGAGAGGACAGGCATCCTAACTTGTCCTCTCCCTGGGAAACTGGAAAGAGACAGACAGGGAGAGATGAGATACTTCGGTGGCTGAATCTGTAACACTAACATCGTGCCCTGTAGGTGTCCTTGTTTTCAACATATGAACCATAAAATTCAAGGGATCCAGTCTGCAAGAGAGAAAAATTATACAGACAGGCAGGACGGGGTGAATAAGAGATGGAAGAAAGGCAGTGAAAGCCACTTAACCTCTCCCTGCCGGACATTATAGCCCACACCAATATACGTTCTGGGAAGATACTGTCTCCCAGCCCCTTGCATTTAAACAAGGCCATCTGACTCGAAGGAACATATGCCACTCCTGGCCTGAGGCAGCGGAAGTCCGCTGCAAGATTCTCCAGTCTCTCACTTCCCCTGCTGGGGCAAATTTACAGGCCTTGTGTTGAGATGACAGATCCAATGGTATTAAAATGGCTTGGGCCTCTGAATCACCACACAAAGGACAGTTGTCCCCAGAGAACCACTAACATTGTTGCCTTAAGCCACTGAGATTTTGAGATTGATGTGTTACTGTAACTTGGTTTATTCTGGTTCACATTGTCTCTGAGCTTTAGTTCCCTCATCTGTAAAATGGGGATGAGACATTTCTGATAAGGCTGTTGTCATGAATGCATAAGGTAATGTCTGTTACATGCCTTCCATAGTACCTGTCACAGAGATGGTTGATGAAGAAGTATTATTTCTTTATCCTTGGTTTTCTGTTTTATAACTTTTATTTTAGGTTTGGAGCTACACGTGAAAGTTTGTTACATAGGTAAACACGTGCCATGGGGGTTTGTTTTACATATTATTTCATCACCCGGGTATTAAGCCCAGTATACAATATAGTTATCTTTTCTGCTCCTCTCCCTCCTCCCACCCACCACCCTCAAGTAGTCCCCAGTGTCTCGTTTCCTTCTTTGTGTTCATAAGTTCTTATCATTTTGCTCCCACTTATAAGTGAGAACATGTGGTATTTGGTTTTCTGTTTCTGCATTAGTTTGCTAAGGATAATGGCCTCCAGCTCCATCCAAGTTTCCACAGAAGACATGATCTTGTTCTTTTTTGTGGCTGCATAGTATTCCATGGTGTATATGTACCACATTTTCTTTATCTAATTTGTCATTGATGGGCATTTAGGTTGATTCCATGTCTTATCATTGTGAATGGTGCTGCAATGGACATTAGCATGCATGTGTCTTTATGGTAAAATGATTTATATTCATCTGAGTATATACTGTTTGTGGGAGTGTAAATAATTCGACCATTGTGGAAAGCAGTATGGAGGTTCTCAGAGAGCTAAAAGCTGAACTACCATTAGACCCAGCAATCTCGTCATTTCTTTATTCTTAAGCCGTTGTGATCTCTAAGTCTATTTTCTTCTTGCGCAGTCTACGTCTACCAGACACTTTAGTCAGTGTGATACAATCATAGCAAATCCAACATCAGCTGAAATATGTTCTGATCAGCCTGAGGAGTTCACACCAATCTCAAGAGGGACCTGTTGCAGGCCAGGGATGAACTGTCTTTGTTGGGGCAGCATGAGGAGGTGAGTGTGGAGCACGGCCTGAGGCCTCCTCCTTTTTGTTGCTGGCAGATGGGCAGTTACTCACAAGACAGCCCTCAAGAGAAAGAAATTGGCTTTGCCACCTGGTGCTTCAGAAAAAAAGAAAGAACAAATAAGACTCCTGTAAATCTGCTAGCAACACCAAAGGCAGGCATTCTAGATCCTCCCCACGTGACCACACCCTCCCCTCAGGCTGACCTGGGCCTCCATTTTTGCCTAACTTCACATCTGTGGAAATTTGGAGTGTTCGTGTGTGTGTGTGTGTGTGTGTGTGTGTGTGTGTGTGCAGAAATTCATGTTAAGGATACAGCAAAGGGAATCCATTGACATTCTCTTCTGGAGTTCTGCATGGTGCTAAATGCACTTGGTATTTATGATTAGAAAGAAGATCTACTGCCACGGTGACAACCTTGCTCTCCAAATTGGCACGTTCAACCAGTCAAGAAGGACACATTTATGAGGTGTGAGTCTGAAAATGAAAATGAGATCAGTTTGGATTTATAACCTATCAAAATGATCTTGTTATTCTATAGTCATCAGTTGGGGACCCAACAGAGAATCATTCCTGATAGCCTGGTTGAGAGGCTTGTCTTTCTTTCTGAAGTGGTCATAGGTCAGTGTTTCCACCAGGAACTAGAGGCTCCTGTGTGTAGGTTCTTTGCACAGACTATACCAACTTTTAGCCTCTACTTAAGCAGCAGGGCAGGGCTGCAGGACGACTGGTCAACCCTTCAGAAGAAGTGAAGCAGTGCTGGCTGGAGAGGAGGTGCTCTGTCTTGCAAAGGGTGTCCAGCCTCTGCTTGAGCCCACGTGTGCCCCTCACATCTGCTGGATGCTGCCATGGGACAGGCAGGAATGGATGAAGAGAATTAAAATTGATAAAGATTATCTTTACCTTCAGTCATTCCTAGTCATCTCCAAGATCTAATCTATTGAATGGCTATTTCCATTGTTACCTTCTTACCATTGGCTATTTCGCTGCATGAGGAAGAATTTGGACTTTATGGAAATTTTTTGTCAAGTCATGATCCCCAAAGCTGAGAGTCCAGGACCAGAACTGTGCTTATGCTATACCTAACCCTTCTCAAAAGGAGGCCAGGACCCTGAATGTCTTTAAGATTGAACTGAAACAAAACTGCAAAGAGAATTTGTGTGTGTCTGTTTGTGGTTTGGACGGTCAGAGGCTGCATTTCCTTCCACCTGTGCTTATAAAGGGCATCCTGTTTCTTTCTTAAGGAGTATTTCATTTGTTGGTGAGAGGCGTTTGTTGATATTAAGGGTAGCCTATAAAATTAAGTGAATGGCTGGTTCCTCAGTTTCTAGCACATTGGTTCTTTATATACAGTGCAGTTATTCAGGGAGTTTATTTGGTTATTTGTTTTCTTCTTTATCTCAAGGGGCGTTTGAATGGGGTTGGCTCTCAGTTATTCAGGTTATCGAGTTTGCTCATTGGCAGCTGAGTTGAGACTGGAGTGGAAAGGAGATGGAAGCAGCCAGGTACAGTCGGTGCTGTTACAAAGCAGAGGACTTATCCAGCCCAGTGGTCAGGACATGAAGAGGACAGATAAAAGACCAGGAGGTGGTGTCACCACCTGTTGATTGATTTCATATGAAACCCCAAGAACAGGAAAAGGATAACCTCATGGTTGCACAGTCTAGAGTAGCCTTCACATGACTATAATGGAATATGCAATCCACATATGTAATTATGCAATCCACATATGTAATTATGAGCTTTCTGGTACCCCTATTTAAAAGGTAAAAGAAAGAAATAAAATTATATCAATAATATATTTTATTTAACACAATATATCCAAAATATCATCATTTAATGTTATATTTTACATTCTTTTTTTCATATTAAGTCTTCCAAATCTGGGGTTTATTTTTTGCTTATAGCATACCTCCATGCAGACTAGCCACATTCCAAGTGCCCAAAAACCACACGTGGCTGGTAGCCCCCACAATGGACAGCACGGACCAAGCAGATAAGGAGAATGTAATGAGAGATAAGTGGGAAAGGATCGTTTGTTTGGAGAGGATGTTGATAAGCTTTATCCATGTTATGTTTGGCATTTTGGTGGGATATCCGAGATGAGATGACCTGAAGGACATTAGAGATATAGGGCTGATGGTATAGGAGGGAGAAATGAAGAAGACTGATTGGCCAAGGCAAGTTTGAGTTAACAGAAAGCCTTGGTTACTATATTCTGAAAAACTTGTGGTGTGAACTTCTGTATTGACAGAGGCTCTAATATGAAGAAAGGGATGGTCTCCATAGCAAGCAGGCATCCCCTGAAGCTTTCGAAACTTCAAGTATTTGGGAATGCTATTGCCTATACCTTCTTTGTCAACCTCCAAGTCATTCCTCAGTATACATTAAGGACTCGGCTACGAGTTCTCTGTGTATGAACCATCCGACACTAGCTTTTAAGTTCCTGAGCTCTTATGGCCATTAACAGTCCTCTACATTCTTCTGTACCCATCATTTCCATGTATTCTTGGACATCATGGACATCATGGTACTTTTCTGCCTTGCAAACATTGATTCCTTTATTTGCCTGTGATATGTGTGCGCACAGACACACACACACACACACACACACACACACACACACAGAAACACAACAGTTTCCCAATACTTTTTTCCAAGGTAGAAATGCTTTTGTCTTCTATTATAAAAGTAGGACATACTGTTAAAATATCAAATAGTACAGAAGTATATATACTAGCAAATAAATGTACTCTTATTCTCAGCCATTTTTTTCTGTTTTTCTTATAAAATAAAGATATATCATACCAGACCATACCATTTTTGGCATCTGTTTTTTCTCTTAAATGTATATTTTAGAGATATGCCTCCACTTCTTCCTTTTTAATGAATATATAGCACTCTCTTTTATGGATGTTAAGCAATATATTTGTCTACTCTCTTAACCACAGAGATTTATGATCCTTCAGAGTTCTTTTGTGTCAGACCTTTTACATATTAACTCTGCACAATTGTCAGATTTTTTTCTTACAAATGTATTTCTAAAGTAAAATTGTATCATTAAGTACTAACATTTGAAAGCTCTCAATGAACGTTGTTAAAATGCTACATGAGGTTTATGTTCCTTTCAACTACTTCTTGAGAATTCCATTTCCTAATTCCACACTAATACTAGCCATTTTTATTCATTTTAATCTTGTCAGTCTGATAGGTAAAAAAAAAATCTCATTACATTTTACATTTCCACTTCTTTGATTACTAACGAAATAGAGCAACTTTTAATTATGGACTGAATATTTGCATTTCTTCTGTGAATTGCCTATTCATATTCTTTGCCCATTTCTATATTGGTGTATTTGTCTTTACCTTACTAACTCGATACTAATATTTTGTCCATAATATATGCTGCAGATATTCTTCCTAGTTGTTTGCTTTTGACTTTGTTTGTGGTATCTTTGCTTAATATTTCAATTTCAGGTAAAAAAAAAATCAGGTTAAAATAATTATATGAAGAAGCTGCAGTTGGAAATTAGAGCCGGGTATGGCAACAGGAAGAACTAGTTCAATACTTTCCCTCAGTAACAAAATTGGCCTAAACGCAACATATAGGAGCAATGAAAATCTTTTAATCTACGTATCTCATGTAAGTGTCCCTTTGCTGAAAACAAAAGATAAGTTTGTATTTTATTTTAAGAAACAATTGAGTCTCTAACCTGGAATAAGATCGAAAAAAATAAAGATAGCTATCTCTCTTTTCTCTTGCTGACTTAATTCTGAAATTTCTTGAAAATGCTAGCTGGGATATAGAAAAGAAAATGCTCTTGGAAAAGTAACTTTGCTAATTTAAAAGTCATGATAATAATCATTTTGGAAATACTTTTCAGTTGAGACAAGTTTCTCCAACATTATCACTTTTGTTGCAGGTGGGGATTCCCGGCTAGGTTAAGCACAGCATTTATTCCAAAACATTTTTAGGCCTTCCTTTATGCTAAGCGCTTCTGGAAAAAGAATAATTTATTGCCAATTGGCAGTAGGCCAAGAGCATGAAGAAGTTCGGTATTACTCTAAATGTGCCCCCAGTTTATAGTCATGGAGGGGTGAGGCCTGTATGTAATAAATATAGAAAAATGAATTAGCACAGTCCTGCTTTGAGGGCTTACAGTTTAACAGGGGGTGAGGTTATGTAAATACATCGTACAGTGGTGGGTGCAATGTCGTGGGGAATTGGTTCTACCAGGAAGGATCCAAGCAGTTTCAGGAGCAGCAGCTCTCAAGCACAGTCTAAAGACAAAGTATGCAATCAAACTATCCAGAATCCAGGAAAGCAGATTTCAAATAGTACAGAGGAAAGATAGACGTGATTCCAAAGGCCAAGAATTCTAAAAGCACTTACCATGTTCAAGACATTCTGCTAAGGTGGTAGTTTGAGCCACCAAAAAAAAAAAAAAAAAAAAAAAGGATGAGAATTCTCCACACACAGATGAAGAGGGGCCATGGGAACCAGTATGTTGGTGACCATAGCTCCAATGTGAGTCAACCTTTTGATGTGACTTCTTTTAAAAATAAGATGCATTTTCAAGCTATAATAATAATAATAATAATAATAATAATAGCTTTCATGTGCCCTTTTTACTTTCCAGGCTCTGTTTCAAGTATCTTACATATAACAGCTCCATTTAATCTTCATACAAACCCTAGATCTCCATCTTACAGATAAGAAAACTGGGGCACAAAGCATTTAAGCCACTTACAAATTCATCTCATAGGTGGTGGGTCAAATTTTGAACCTGTGCTTGGATGTGAACCCGGCCATTTAGGCTTCATTGTGTGATTTCATGCCAGCTGTTCTACAAGCAGCTACACTGATTGAGCCTTTACTATCTTCCAAGTGTGTGCTAAGCATTTACACGTATGATGTCAATTGCCATAATCTTGTGAGGCTGTGAGGTTGATACTATAATTAGCCTCTTTCGTAGATGAGGAAACCAAGCATTCAAGAGTTTAGTTGCTTGCTCAAGGTTAAGAGGTAGTAAGTAGCAGAGCCAGGATTTGAACTCAGGGAGAATGATCCCAGAAAGAGCTCACAGGCACTATCATGGAAGCATACAATCCAGAAGGAAGGACATGATGGTTTCATGGCATTCAGCATCACATTTACCATGTGTGCCTTCATAGTTCTCTTTGGAACCCCCACACACAAGAGAATATTCAAAAGAGGGTCTGCAAATATTTGAGGAAGTTTGCAGGAACTGACAGGTTCAGCTAAAAGGAAACTGGAAACAAAGATGTATGAATGTTCTGATTCTATGAAAACAGGGAGAGGAGACTTATTTCCTATGGTTTCCAAGGTGAGAATAAAGAAAGATTTTCCAAAAGTAAACTACTAAATAGAATGGAGCGAGCCCCTGATGCCAAAGCAAAGGCAGGGAGAAAATGTCAGAAAGTTTAAAGAGGGGAATTGTGTGTTGAATGCAGATTTGGTTGAAGTTGCCCCTAAAGTCAACTCTCCTCTATTAGTTTACACAATCTTAATCATCTTCAAACATGCCCAGTGCCTTTTCAAAAAAAAAAAAAAATGACAGAATCAAGACATGGGAAATTCATTAGAAGCTGTTTATCCAGCATTTTATTAACTAGTGTTTGCATGTTTTCTCAATTCTTGAGTGCTTAGGGTTCACACTGATGCTCCTAAAGAAATAAAAGTGCCTTCAGTGTTTTAAAAGTTAGATTGGATTATGTCACTTGTAATTTACTGTTGAGTATATTTTCTAGCATTCTAAGCCTTTTGAAAAATTGTGCTCTGTGAATAGCTAATTGCTCACCTTTAACCAGAATATGTGATTAACTAGGATATCCCAGGCCCCAGCCATGACAAATAGCAAATGTCCCAGAAGAGTCCCCAAATGAGAGGATAGAGCTGAGTAGTATAGGAGGCAGTTTCCCAGTTGGAACCAGAGGCAGCAAACCCCTGCTTGTTTCCTGCTCTGACCAAGCCCAGGTCCCAGAGAACGTTGATTTAAATGTCAGTGGTGCGGTTTATTTAGCTATTTCAGGAACTGGAGCATTACCACGGCCATTGGCAACCAGAAAGCAGCTAGAGCTCAGGAGGGGTGGTGAGCTCCCCAAAGCACAAGGTCTTTTCTTCTTCAGAACTGTCTGGTGGACTGGCCAAGAATGCTGACAGAGGTGAGATGCCAGCTTCAGAGGTAAGCCCCACCACCCCAGCAAGACGCCCCAAATACAAATCTTCCAAGGGAAGGGAGTTTACTCAGTTCATTAATGCTCCTGGCTCCCACTGGCAGCAATCACAGGCAGCGTGCCTACAGCCACCACTGCATATTTCAGATCCCTACTTCATTACCTGTCCCTCCTGGACAGCTGCTCTAATCACTGATGAACAACCTGGAGGATTCGCCTTGTCAGGGCTGGTCAGCCTTGAAGCGCTGTGTCCTCACCCAACTCCTGAGACTGGCCTGGTAATCCCATTTCCTGTGTCTAGAGACACAGTGAGTGGCCAGGGTGAGCAGGGCCAACTACCTGGACTGGGACCAGAGCTGGGCTCTGCCACCTAGCCTTCCCTCCACTTGTGTCCTTTTGCTGACTTGCTGCTGGATCTGTTCTCTCTGCCTGGGGGGTCTTCTGACCCCAGGATGTCTTCCCCTTGCCTGTGCCCTGTGAACTGCTCCCAAGTTCAGCGAGGGCTTTGCACATGCAGCTGAGCTTCAGGGAAAGTGTGCTGGACCCAGTGACCCGAGGCATGTTCTGGTCCCCGGCTCTCTGTGTGGTCTTGCAGCCTTGAGGCTTGTTTCCTTAGCTGTAGCCCAGGGGCAATAACCACTCCCGGCTGCAATGCAGAGAAAAGGAGTGTGGAAGAAAGAAAAGTATGAATGCCTTTGTGAACTGGGAAACACACTACAACACAATAAATAGGAATACGCTATTTTAAAGGGGAAGGACATTTTGACACAGGCTATGACTTGGATGAATTGGAAGGACATTATGCTCAGCGAAATAAGTCAGTCCCAGAAAGACAAATACAGTGATCCCCCTTATCCTCCTGGTTAGATTCCAAGACCCCCAGTGGGTACCTGAAACCGTAGACAGTACTGAACTCCATATGTATTAGTCTGTTCTCACGCTGCTAATAAAGACATACCTGAGACTGGGTAATTTATAAAGGAAAGAGGTTTAATTGACTCATGGTTCAGCATGGCTGGAGAGGCCTCAGGAAACTTACAATCATGGCAGAAGGGGAAGCAAACATGTCGCCTTCACATGATGGCAGGAGGAAAAAGTGTCAAGCAAAGAAGGGAAAAGCCCCTTATAAAACCATCAGATCACATGAAAACTCACTCACTATTAAGAGAACAGCTTGGGGGGACTGCCCCCCATGATATAATTGCCTCCCATGAGGTCCCTCCCCCAACACATGGGGACTATGATTCAGATGACAATTTAAGGTGAGATTTGGGTGGGGACACAGAGCCAGACCATATCACTATATATACTGTTTTTTCCTATACATGCATAAGTGTACAGTGTGAAAATACTGGACACAGGGAGGATTCAGGTCTCAAGCCAGACAGAGCAGGATGGTGCTAGATTTCCTTACACTGCTCAGAAGGGTATGCAGTATAAAATTTATAAACTTCATTTTTTTAAAAACAGAGACAGAGTCTCCCTATATTACCCAGGCTGGTCTCAAACTCCTGGCCTCAAGCAATCTGCCTGCCACAGCCTCCCAAAGTGTTGGGATTACAGGCATGAGCCATGCATAGGGACTGAATAGTTTATTTCTGGAATTTTTCATTTAATATATTTGCACCTCAGTTGACTGAGGGTAAGCGAACTTGCAGAAAGCAAAACTGTGGAGAATGCGTGACAACCACGCCGTGTTATCTCGCTGCATGAGGTCCCTAGAGTAGCCAAACTCAGAGAGACAAGAAGCAGAATAGGGGCTAAGGGAGTGGGGATGGGCAGTTGTTTAATGGGTACAGAGTTTCCGTTTTACAAGATGAAAAGGGTTCTGGAGATTGGCTAACACAGCAATATGAATCTATGTACCACTACTGAACTTAAACTACCACTTACAAATGTCCAACACGGTACACTTTTTGTTTCTGTGAATTTTAACATCATTAAAAAAAAAATAGGAGGCACATGCCTTGCACACCCACATGCTCTTAAAAGCAATTTTGTTTTAGAGCCATTTCTGAGACTTTTGTATACTGCATTCTCAATATATATGTATGGAATTGAAACTCCTATCTGTGTTTCACGAAAGGAAAAGCCGTCTGGTGGCCAGAGAGAGGACTTTGACAGGACAATAAAGCTCCCTACCACACCACGTTTCATATAATTGGAAAAATCTTAGGGGAAGTTCTGGGCCTGCTACAGAGTTGTTCAGCTTCTGGAACCTTCCTGCCTCTGCTTCTGTGGCCTCAGCCCTCCTTACTTAGAAAACAGACTCCACATATAAGCAGCAAAAAAGAAAGGAAATGCATAGCCTTGTGTGGCACTTGCCTTGGTGATCCTCCTCTCTTCCCCTCGCTCTCAGCAGACCCCAAGTCTGACTTCCCAGAGGGCACACAAACCACCATGTTCCCACCCCCTAAGTTACCAACATACGTGCAATGAACCTTTCCTTGGATCTCTAGCAACTCTGCTGAAATGGATTTTGTCAAGGCCAACCAAGGTCAGCCATGCCCTTGCTCCTGAACTCCATGATCCTTCCTACTTTCTGAACTTCTCTTCCTTTAGTTTTTTATAAGGGAGGGTTTTCCATCTAGTTATCCATGTATTCTCAGTCCCCAGTACATCCATCCTCCCAGCCCTTCCAAATTTCTCTTCCTCAGAACAACTCCCTCATCTTCCTTCTCTTCTCAGTCTGTGTATTCTGCCTGGGGGATTACACTTTCTTTTACAGCCTTTACCATCTCTACACTAATGAATCTCCAGGCTAGATTCCTCTTCTAAATGCCAGATTTTTATATTCTAATGCCAATTACTCCATTTAAAAACCTGTCTGTATTTCCTTCCACCCCCAAACCTATTTGCCCCAGTCCTGCTGGCACCTCCATGAATACCACCACCATCCTCCAGGTGCAGAGGCCAAACCCAAAAGCCATTCACAGCTTTCCCTCCCTCACCCCCATCTAACATCTAAGTCCTATTGCTTATGTCTCCTAAATATCTTCAGAATCCACGGACTCCCTTCTGCCATGTCCCCAGTATTGCCTGCATGTGGTTGCAGCAGCCTCCTCCTGCTCCAGCGGTAGCCCTCTCTACTGCGGGCAGGGTCCCAGCAGATGGCACATGGCGTGGGTACTTGAAGAATCCCTGTTTACAAAGGTTCTTGCAGAGTTAATGAAGCCAACAAAGATGGAGAGTCACCATGGGGCTAGCAACAGTGGGAAGCCTTAGGCACCTGAACCTGAAGGGAGCTGTTATTATTACATGTAACTCAGAAAGAAAACCGTGGCTAGGAGAAAGGTCTGCCAGGCAGGACTGTGGCTCACAGCAGGGGAACAGAGCCATTGCCAATCTGAAGCCATGGCAGGGAGGGAGCTGGGGAAAAGATACCCCGATTTCTCTCTCCTCCCACCCTCTTATCTCCTGCTCCTGCCTCCTATGGGCTGAAACTGCCTGGAAACCAGAGGGCAGATCAACCTGTTAAGCAGTCTAAGAAACATCAGCTTACTGGTGCTCAGAGAAGAATGAAGACAAGTAGCAAGTGAGTCTGTAGGGGCAAATGAAGAATCCCTGGCACGTCCTCTCTAACTCAGTTTCCATACTTCAGCTTAAGCAGCTTAAGTAACTTTTCTCTTTTTTACTTTCTTTCTTTCCTTTTTTTTTTTTTTTTTTTTTTTGAGATGGAGTTTCACTCTTGTTGCCCAGGCTGGAGTGCAATGGTGCGATCTTGGCTCACTGCAACCTCTGCCTCCTGGGTTCAAGCAATTCTCCTGCCTCAGCCTCCTGAGTAGCTGGGATTACAGGCGCCCGTTACCACGCCTGGCTAATTTTTGTATTTTTAGTAGAGACAGGGTTTCTCCACGTTGGCCAGGCTGGTCTCGAACTCCTGACCTCAGGCGATCAACCCACCTCGGCCTCCCAAAGTGCTGGGATTACAGGCATGAGCCAATGGGCCTGGCCTTAAGTAACTTTTCTATAGCACAAATCTGATTTTGTCATCCCTTTCTTAAAAGTATTCAATGGCTCCACGATGCCCCAGGATGATGTGAACCTCTTAATGCCATCCCTGCACAGTGTGGCTGCCTAAATCTCCAGGCAGGCACCCCGCCGTCTCCATCAGTGCCCATATCCCGGGCCCTGATTGCCCTTCCTCACTGTCCACTCCAGCCATTCCGAACTGATGGGCAATGCACTGTCTGGTATCTACACCCCTTTGCAAGCCAAATTCTTCCATCCATCAGTTCTCACTTTAGTTGTGGCCTCTTTCAGGCAGCCTTTTCTAACCACCCAAGTTGGGGCAAGTGCCTCTCCTGTGATGTGGCGCTCTCTCCTCATTCCTATTACAGCACACTGTATTCACTCATAACATGCTATTGTTTCTATCTATTTCCTGTCTATGTCCCCCACAGATGGAAACATACCGAAAGTCAACACTGAGTCTCATCTGCTGTGACAGCACCCAATAGATATTTGCTGAATCAATGAGTGAACCTCACGAAAAACCCTGTGACATTGATATTCATCTCTCATTTTTATAACTGAGGACACTGGGATCTGGAGATGTTTAGTGATTTTTCCAAAGTCACAAAACTGGCTCTAGACAAAGTCCAGATTAATGAATCCATGTTTTCTAATTCTTTGACAGGTACCTGTTCTACCTCCCTGGGCTGCCTGCCAAGGATGCCCTTGGTCTGCCAGAAAAAAAGTATTGCTGCTTTGCCCTGATACACACAGAAGTCTAGATTCCATTCATACCAATATCGGTCCTTCCTCCCCCATGAAGCATGTGAGATGCTCTCTCTCCATCGCCAAGTTTCTTCTTTCTGCTGGTTTCTCTGGCAAAAAGGCAAGAGGCAAGAACTGATGTGGGAAACAGTGGCAGAGAGTTAGAGAAAGCAGGTAAGTCCGAAGGCCAAATCCTTTTGCTGGGCAGACTGGAGAGAGGGAGAGACATTGAGTCACTGCAACCCAGTACCCTGACATGACCCAGGAGTTAGTTGCCCAGCAAGCTTGACCCAACACTGGAATGCTTCCCACATCAACCTGCACTGTGGAAAAATCCAGTTCCTTTTGCAGCATAGGCTTCTCCTTCCTCCTCTCATTAAATGGAGAATGTTTAATAGAGCGATTGCAGGCTTTCATCCAAAGCAACAAATAGCTAGCACGGCTGGCTCTCGAAACGCTAGCAGGATGTCAACATGGGAGCCTTGGAGAAATTTTTCTTGAAGAGTACTTAAGTCAATAATACCAAGGAGAATGGTGAGTGTGTGCAGCAGCCTGAAGTGGACGTGCTTGGTGAACAAGGGGCACAATATAAAGAGCACAGCGGCCTGCCCTGCACTTTCCACTCACCAAGCAAGGAGCCGGGTGGCCTGGGGAGGCCTTCAAGTACTTTGGAAATGCACAGAAGCCTCCAGCACTCCCATTCCAAGGAAAAGGGGCCATTATGTCCCTTTTATAAATGAGGGTGCAGCAAAAAGAAGTGTTTTGCCCTGGTTCAAAGCACAAGAAGGTAGGAAGGCCAAGGGGGAATTCTGACTCTGATTCTGACCCTGCTCTTATCTGGCAAGGGTCTCCCTGGACAAGACAATGGGGAGCTGGTTACAGGGCTTTGTCCCAAGCACCCCACTTTCCCAAGAAAACTCTCAGGGGTAAGTGTCCCCAAAATAGGGCAACATAAGGATCTAAGTCCTTCGAGGTACGAAACAAAGTGAAAAACGATTGAAAAGTAAATGGATGGATATAGCAGCAAAAGCTTGGGGCTTGGTCAGTTGAAGTGAGGCAGCTTCTGATGTGCGAGCCCTCGAAGGCTCTAGAGAAAGAGGAGGTACACTTAGGTTGCACTTTTGCCTGGGGGATCGCCAAGGACTTCACATATGAAGCCTTTTTACAAATGAAATTTTAAAGAAAATTGTACTCAGAGCTTTAAACAGAGTGCCCTTAATGGAACGGGCTCCATCCTAACATGATGTTGCCATAAGTACCTCGAGGGTGGGAGTCAGGTTGTATTTATTTGTGTTCCAGTGCCTTACATTTTGTGGCAGGGTAAGGGTGGAAGAGAGAGAGGAAAGAAGGGAGGGAGGGAAGGGAAGAAGGGAAAGTGGGAGGAGGATGAAGGGCAGGAGGGAGGAAAGAAGGGAGAAAAGGAAGGAAAAACACAAAAGGGGAAGTTGAGATGTAGGGAAGAAAAGAAGAAAAGATTTTCTCCTCCTTTTCTCTTCTTAGCAAAGACTACAAGACTTCAGAGTCACAGCTGGCTACAAACCCACCCCCTGCACCCAGTACCACTAGCTGGAGACACTGGAAGATGCTCTTGTTATTCTCGGATCACCGCCTACCCCCAAAACCCATCCTCCCTGCTGCCTTACCTGAGAAGTTGAACCCCAGAGACAGAAAGGATCACCTGCACTCCTTGTACTGGGCCTTCCCATCGGCCAACGTGTGGCATGAACGAGGCTGCATCCCTCTTCCATAGCACCTGCACTCGTAGGCTCTGCAAATTTCATCCCCACCTTTGGCCCTTCAGGCCTAGGGCAAGTCACAGCTCCCCAGAACTGTTCATCCCCAGGTGTCTCGCCATCCCTAGATAGCACCTGTAAGCCTGACTACACCTCTGTAAAGCGTGCCCTTCATTAAATTTTCTTCTGTTAAACCCTTTGGAGTGGGTCTTGGTTTTCCTGCCAGAACCATGACTGACATGGACAGTTACTTAACCTCTCTGAGTATTGACTTCTTTGCCTCTAAAATGAGGATGAAAATATTTACTTGGCAAGGTTATGGCAAAGGTTATGTGAGATGACCTCTATGGAGCATCCATTATGTGTCTGGCACTATACGATGCATTTTACATGCATGAATTCTCCTCTCTGCCTTTTTGAACATGCAAACAATACCTTGCCCCTAGACTGTCTAACAGAAAAGAGCAAGGATGAACTTTTAGCTCATCGTCTGGGTCTAGCCTTCTGAAGCTACAGGGTCTGACAGCTTGGGTGGAAGATGAAGATGTTTGCATTGTCTCACAGCTGGAAGGGAAGCACATGATGTGCTCTGTGTGTGACACGGGCCTTGCTAACAATTCCAGGCCCTACCAGCCAAAGATAAAACCTGTACACATGCACAGTGTTCTCTACTTTAGCAAGGAAGGTGGCCGTGGCCAGCTCAGCTTGGGATCTCTTCCTCAAGGCCGCCTTGTGAGATCCACTCATCCTGCAGGACCAAGGCACTCAGCCTGGCCAAGGGCTTCCATTTTGTAGGGATGAGGAGAACTTTACTAAGCTAAGGGCTCTGTGGTCACGGCCAATCATCTCTACACTCAAGTAATAGAGTCAAGCATCTTGATCACTAATAATCACTGTAAAGGATTAGTTAAATCTCCAGAGAAAATCCAACTCAATCTTTCCATAATGTCATTCTTTCAGTGAGTATATAGGAAGGACTCACCATGTGTCATTATAGGGGGCTGAGCTGGATAGAATACAAATTTAAGCGCAGCCAGCATCCTTCAGGAGCTTAGAGTTACGTGGAGAAGCCAGGCATCCAGTACCTTATGCAGTCAGTCACCAGCTCTCCACGTGCACAAAAGCTCGGATGGAACAACTCATGCATGGTTTGGCAGCTCACCAGAGGGTGACATCAAAGTGGGGAAAAGTGGTTGCAGTTGTCTTCACGGCAACAGAAGAACAGGGGAACTCAGGACGTGACTTTCCAAGGTTACTAAAGTCCTGATCTGCAACTCATTTGCACAGCCCACATCAGAGTGTGCAGCTTGACAGCAGATCTGATCTTAGCCTGACTGTTTACTACCTTCACAAAGTCATCCTTCTGGTAGTTGTTTGATCGACCTGTTCAGACCCTGGGTTCTTTTTTTGTTTTAGATGCAGTTTTGGTCCTGTCGCCCAGGCTGGAGTGCAGTGGCATGATCTCGGCTCACTGCAACCTCTGCCTCCCCAGTTCAAGCGATTCTCCTGCCTCAGCCTCCCAAATTAGCTGGAATTACCGGTGCCGGCCACCATGCCTAGCTAATTTTTTTGTATGTTTTAGTAGATATGGGGTTTCACCACATTGGCCAGGCTGGTCTCAAACTCCTGACCTCAGGTGACCCACCCGCCTCGGCCTCCCAAAGTGCTGGGATTACAGGCGTGAGCCACTGTGCCCGGCCTGGGTTCATTTTTAAGCAGCTCCACTGGTTCTTTTCCTGTGTTTCCTATATTTGCTACATTTTTTCACTCTCATACTTGTTGTTATAACCATAATTTCCTATGATCAGTTTACAAAGAATAGCCAATCATTCACGCGGAAATGCATCCAATGGCTTTTTCGTGTTTCATCCAACCCATGATTCAGGACTCTGTGATCTTCTGTTACACTTCCAGGTATTGTAAACACCGACACTTTACAGAAGAAAATTAACAAAAAGCAGAGAAAATTTTTTGTTTTGTTTTAAAACATTCAATATGTAGGGTTTTTTTTCTAATCATATTTTTATGTAGCTAATCTTTTAGGCAGGGAAGTACATTTTTGTTAATTTCTGTACTCTGTACAATTTCTGTATAATGGCATATTAAATATTTACACAGATCTGATGAAATTAGGAACAGCGGCAGTCATTCCTTTATTTCATTTTATTGTGCATCTACTAGGTGCCAGTCACTGTTTTTGGCATCGGGGATAAAATAGTGAAAGAAATGAAGTCGTCCCTCTCTTGGTGATTACAATCTAGTGAAAGGAGGTGGAGAATGAGCATGTCTATGGTAAATCAGGTAGTAATATATGCTGAGAACAAAAAATAAAGCAGAGTACAGGAACAGAGGATCAGGTGCTGTTTTAGATCAGGTGGCCAGCAGAGGCCTCTTGGATAAAGCGAGAGACCCTAATAGAGGGAACAGCCAGTGCAAAGGTCCCAAGAGAGCAGAAGTTTGGCAGTCTGGGAAGAGAAGTAAGGAAGCCGGTGTGCATGCAGTGGAGTGGGAGAGCGGGATTAGTTGTGAAAGAAGGGATCAGAAAGGCAATCAGAGTATGAATCACATAGGATCGCCCAGTCCATGGGAAGAACTTTGGGCATCATTCAGAGTGAGCTGAGAGTCTCGTTAGAGAGTTCTGAGCAGCACATGATACAATTTACGTTTCAGATGGTCCACTCTGGCTGCTGCTGTGTGGAGAATAGACCTCAGGGGGAAGCGGTGTCAGGGCCGGAGTGGAGGGGCCACCACAATCATCCAGGCATGAGCTGACAGGGCCTCAACTCAATGTGACGTGCATTTCATCTTTGCCATCTTCTTTCCTTGATTCCCATAAGCCATGTTTGTGTTTTGCTTTGCTTTGTTTTTTTTTTCATCCTTGGTGGAAATGAAGTTTCATATGTCACAGCTAACCACAAAATATAGACTCTCTTAAATAAAACATAATGTTGGCTAAAATTATGGTACCAGTATACTCTTTTTATCTCATTCACTCTAATTTGAAGAAAGAAATATAAGATTCTCTTTCTTTTCCTGCATGAAAATCCTCCTAGCAGTAAGTTTCAGATTTTTGAGAGATTGGTACAACATCAGATTAGAAATTGAGAACTTTGCTTTATTAAATGGACTTTTCTTCTAGTAAATTTTTGTTTAACCACTTCTAAACTGCTTATATCAGACTTTCAGAAACTTATCCTTTAAAAAGGAATGCCTATGATGCTAATTTTCAGAGATTGAATCATATCTGAATTACGTTATCTGACAGTTTTCAGGTCTATAAATGTAAGATCATCACTCAATTTCCAACTTACAGTCAACACACAAAAAAGGGAGAAAGCGAAGTATGGCATTGCTAGAGACTGTATCACTGGTTTATAATATTCAATGTTCTCCCTACAGACCAGGGCCTGCAGAACAATTATACTTTCCTCCTTGCCAAGATGAGGCTTGGCTATTTGATTTGCTTTGGGCAATGAAATGTGAGTAAAAGTGGCCTGTACCGTACCTGAGCAGAGGCTTTCAAAACTAACACATGGTCTCACCATTGCTCTTTCCCTCTGCCATGAGGCTGACAGAGGCACAGACAGGAACTGCTCCTTCAGCCTAGGCTCTGGAATCAAATGACATAGAGTAGAGCTCAGATTGCCTGCAAACTATGACTTGAGAAAGAAAAGATCTTGTTTTTGTTAAGACATTGAGAATTGAGGGCTGCTTGTTACTGCAGCATAACTAAACCCAAGCTGACTGGTAAAGACATAAACCTGTTTTTTACCTATTTTTGCTCCAAATAGGTGGAACCTTAGAGTGGGATCTGTTGCTTTCTTACAGTTTATTATAGCCAGATTTGGACTAACCTAAAAGGACCTGAAGCAAACTTTAGTGGCATTTAGAAGATTTGTTAAAGTCTCAAGAAGTCCCTATGTTCTCTCCAGGTTACACTTTTGGGATTTTCTAATCCGGAAAATCTCCAAGGTGCAATTTCATTTGGACCTTCCCCTTCAATATCTTAACCTGGGGCCTGGGATACAGAATATTTCCCAGTCTTCCTTAAAATAGTAAGCTTGATTTTTGAATAAAGACCTGTTGCCATGACAGGGTGGTGAAGATGGACCACTGAAATGATGTGCCCTCCAACAGACTGGATAATGTTGGGGGACAGAGTGTTATCACTCCAACTTGCTTCCCAGATCTTGGGTTGAGTATTGATAAGGTCTATCAATAACTTAGCCTTTCACGGAATGTCCTGGGGTTACTTAGAGATCTTCCTAAATGTGAATATATATCAGATAATTTGTAATTTCCCAGCTTAAAAGTCCCCAGCGGTTTATGAATACACTTCCAATCAGCATCTAAACTCCTTCACATGACCTTGCGAGTTCATAAGCATGAACTGGCCCCTGCCTAGCCCTCTTATCCACTGCCTGCCTTTTTCTCCATCAACTTTTTCTTCTCCATTTGTACTGGTCTTCTTTCAGTTTCCCAAATACATCAAAATCTTTCCCTGGTTAGGGACTGCAATTATTGTTTCTTTCTCCTGGAACATTCCTGACTCTTCACCTATTTTATTTTTCAAAGCATAAAAGACTGTGGCTGAACAGTTGGGGCTCCCCTGAGAAAGGGTGCTAGGAGCACCGTGTTCCCAGCAGCAGCCCCGGCACTTGTCAACTCTCAGGATAGACAGGAAAGCAGAGAAAACTGTCAGGGAAATCCCTTCCCACCCTTGCCTAGGTTTTCCCAAAACTTCACCTTCAAATAATTGCCATGCCCACTTTTTGAAGAGGCCCCACCAAATATTGTTGAAAACCACTCCATAAATCAGAGGTGCTAATCCCAATTAATATCAATAGTGTGCCTTTTTGTTGCCCATCTTTTCTGTCTCTTCCCAATTCAGTTTTCCTCCAGATTTCTGTCTGGTTCTGTCTGTGTGGCCAAAATGAGTGACGAGTAATCAGAAGGCAAATCTTTTTGCAATGAGGAATAGAGATCTTATCTTCCTTTAAGCAGCTGGGACTAGTACCGGTATCACTTCCCTTGCCTAACAGTTCTAACCTGAAGTGTGCTATTTTAAGCCATACATATGATTGTTGTCACTTTGTCCCCTAAAACCTACATAGGTCCTATTTTAAGTATCTTGGTTCCCTTTATTTCTGCAGCTTCTGACTTCAAGGGGGAATAAAGATAAATTATTTTATTTCCGTTGTCTAATTTTCCATATTCCCTAGGGACCATACTTAGAGCTCACCCCGCAGAAGAAGGAAGGCCGGATTGTTGAACGGTGATTGGACCCAGTGCTGGTTACTTGGCTTTGGAGTTAAGAAAAAGTTCTTTCAATGGACTGTGGTTTATCTGAAAGGACTAAAGAGAGCTCTCTTTTTTCTGCGACATTCTCACTGACAGACAGAATGCTTCTCTCTACATTTTGCAACAGTGTACACAGGAAACAGTGCAATTTGACAGCCAGGCCCAGGATCCATAAGTATGTACACATACACATACACACTTTTGCATGTATCCAAACCGAAGAAGGATGAAGGGCTTCTTCTGTAAGCCAGCAATAAATCACTGTAGAGCTAACTACAGTGAGGATGCCTAGAAGGGACAAAGCAAATACTTCATTCCTGATTATCATCCAAAATTTGTGGTGTTTTTGACTCTTTTTAAGAATTTTGCCATCATCAGTGTGATCCCTATTGAAATACTCTGAATGTTTCAACTCATTACAAACAATATAAAATATTACACTGCTCTTACTAATAACAAAAGCTAGTATCTTTGACTGCTTAATATACGCCAGATACTAGACTAAACAATTCGCATGAATTACATGATTTAAGTGTTAAAGTAATCCTATGAGCTGGATTACAATTGTTTGTTGTTAGCAGTGGTGGTGGTATAGCTATCATTTTCTGGATCATACAGTGAAGGCTTAGAGATGTTAAGTAACTTGTGCATAGGTCTCACAACTAAGAAGGAGTACAGCTGAGTTTCAAATCCCAGCCATCTGACTCCAGGACTCATGCTCTTAAGTGGAAATTGGTGTCCCACTATGGAAGCTACTTGGAAGAGCAGAAGAACAAAGTTCACCATTTAAATAGAAATAAAACCAGTATCCATTTTACCTAACAAATCCCATTCCATCTAGCAGGCTGCCTCCCTATTACAGTATAGACTGGGATGATTTCTTCAAATTCTGTGTTCATTTCTCAGTTACACAGTGGCCATATTATGTCACTTGAGCCCTACCCATAGGAACAATCTTTAAGTATCCCAGTCTTATTATGAAGTCTTTGAGTAATCCCCTAAATCTCATTGGCTAGGGTCCAAGATGGAATCTTCTTATACTAAATTCCACTCCAAATTTTAAAATATTTTCATAAGGACCCAGTACATTTACAGAATGTGTGAATATCCCTCTTCCCACTTAAAAAATGAGAGAAATTCTGGATGAGATATTGCCACCAAGATAGATCATCTTCTCCACGTTAGGATTGTGGAGAACCAAGGAAATATCATGATATATGGAAGAGGAGCTGAGTGGGAACCAGCCCTTCTGAAAAGACCTCATGAAATACTCACTTAGAAAAAGGCACTCATAGTTCAGCCTCTACTGATTCAAAGAACAGGGTTGAAATAATTTACATTCGATGTCCACATAGCAGGGAGTATAGAATTCAGCTCTAAATACTTTTTTTAAAACCAGACAAATGTTTCTTTGGGGGAGTGCACTCTGACAGCCAGGCCCAGGATCAACACTAACGTGGTCAGACACTTGTGCGATGAGCTGCAAAAATCACAGCAGGCGTGGGGCTGCGGGCAGCCTCCTGGAAAATGTGACAAATAGCCGAGCTGCCCACCCTGGGACATACCTGTGTACACCAGGATGCGATTCTGACTAGTAAGTGTATTAATTATGCCCAAGGCCTGGCAATAACTCTTAGGGATTCTGTAGCAGAATTTCCAGGGCAGTGCTCTGAGCACTGTCAGAGGAGGCATGAGGTGGACCGGGAATATTCCCACGTGTGGCCCTAGGCTTCCCTCCAGCAACCACCTTCCATTTCTTTAGCCACATTAAATCATGCCCAAACCGGACTGAGAAGTAGAAAATGGAATAATTCAGTTACTCCCTTGAATAGCTCCCCGAATTTCTACTGGTCACTACTATATTCCTAGCATGCCTGGACCTTATCATTCTCACTTCCAGCATTTTCTTTCATCTTCCCTAGAGGAGCCCTGTGCCCCAGGTAAGCCCATCTCCCTGCCCCTTCCATAACACGTGGCTGCTTCGACCTCCTGGCCTTGGAGGATGCTTTCTCCCAACCCGGGGAGCTCTCTACCCCTCTCCACAAGCTCACTCACCTCCCAGCCCCTCTTCAGATCCTGAAGTCTGCTCAATACAGACAGGTGGGTTGGTTATATGATCATCCCACCCCACTCAGCCCTTTTCACCGACAATGGGTGAAGGCTGAGGGGAGGTGACTGCAATCAGAAAAGGATTGCTTTATTATTTTGTGGGTGCTTGCTTATCTGGCAAGCCTAAGTCCCATGCACGGGAACACCATGGAAGGCCAGTGAGTATAAGACTCTCCACTGCCCACCCAGGAGAGACAGGGGGGTGACGGGGATGGGCATAAAATAGAAAAATGAGAGGAGTGGGGACTCATCTGAGGCTGCTCTAATTCAATGGAAGGGTGATCCAACGAAAAAAGTGGAGAACCATCTTACACCTTCTGGAATTTGGCGTCTAGAGCTGTCTATCAGCAAGATTATGCCCTTGCTCCCCACATGGCTTTGAGACATAGTAGAAGATAAGAGCAGGGCTCCAGAAGATTCTGAGCTGCCCTTGCCTTCCTTGATTGTACCTGGTTCCATGCCTTTCCAGCATTCATTATCAGTACTGCACACACTTGCTCTTCAATTGCCTGTCTTCTATTTTTGCTTGCTGTCTGGTTGTATACTTTCTTTCCAAATGAGTTGCTAAGCTGGAAGGCAGGGCTTGTCTCCCATAGCCTGGAACTTAAGTATGCGCTAAGTTATATAATTTAAAAAAATCTCTAGTAAGATGTAGTTTCTCTGTTATTGTGTCATATAAAAACAGCAGGGTGGATTTTCATCATCTTTGCAGAGTTTCAGATTTTTTTTCTTAAAAAAAAAAAAAGAATTTATCAGCTTACAGGTCTGGAGGTCAGAAGTCCAAGATAGGTCTTACTGGGCTAAAGTCCAGGTGCCCGCCAGGCGCAGTGGCTCAGGACTGTAATCCCAGCACTTTGGGAGGCTGAGGCGGGTGGATCACCTGAAGTCAGGAGTTTAAAACCAGCCTGGCCAACATAGTGAAACCCCATTTCTACTGAAAATACAAAAAATTAGCTGGGCATGGTGACGGGTGCCCGTAATCCCAGCTACTAGGAAGGCTGAGGCAGGAGAATCGCTTGAACCCGGGAGGCAGAGGTTGCAGTGAGCCGAGATCACACCACTGCACTCCAGCCTGGGCAACAACTGTGAAACTCCACCTCAAAAAAAATAATAAATAAATAATAAAGTCCAGGGGCCAGCAGGGCGGTACTCCTTCTGGGGCCTGCAGAGGGGCATGTTTCCTTGCTCTGTCCAGCTGCTAAAGGCTGCTCCTTTCTTTGGCTCAAGATCCCCTTCTCCACCTCGGAAGCCAGCCACAGAGCATCTTCACACCTCTCTCCAACTCCCACTCCCCTCCCTTCCTCTTTCCCCTATAGGGATCCTTATCAAGGACACCTGTAATGGGGCTCAAGACACTCTACCCTACAATAGGGCACCAGTGCAGAGTGAATATTTTAAGCCAAAAGAATTTCAGAAATAGCAGGTGCAGGAAGGTCTCTCTGACTCCCCCTGCCCTTCTCCCCTGGGGCAGGTCATAAGAACCTCATG
The DNA here is from genome assembly GCF_000001405.40 of Homo sapiens. Taxonomy (NCBI): domain Eukaryota; kingdom Metazoa; phylum Chordata; class Mammalia; order Primates; family Hominidae; genus Homo; species Homo sapiens. The sequence goes on along the minus strand of NC_000006.12, from coordinate 14,221,070 downwards.
TGAGAGGAGCCCTCCTTACACTTAGAGGAAGACGGCATCCTTATCTCCAAGATGAGGGACACTCAGAGGAATCTGAGCAAATGGGTCTTGCTGCTCCCCCAGTTTCTCACCCTGAGCTTATACTCCTTTTGTTTTCCCTCAATCATATTTTTCCACGACTCTCCATTCTTCTTCAAGCCTACTGTAAAAACACTCGGGTTTGGCCAGGTGTGATGGTTCATCCCAGCACTTTGGGAGGCCGAGGCAAGTGGATCAGGAGGTCAGGAGATTGAGATCACGCTGGCCAACATGGAAAAACCCCTTCTGTACTAAAATATATACAAATTAGCCGGGTGTGGTGGTGTGTCCCTGTAATCCCAGCTACTCAGAAGGCTGAGGCAGGAGAATCGCTTGAACCCAGGAGGCGGAAGTGGCAGTGAGCCGAGATTGTGCCACTGCACTCCAACCTGGGTGACTGAGACTCGTATCAAAAAAACAAAACAAAACAAAAAAACACTGGAGTTTAACTGTTTCTCGGGGGTCTTCATTTCCTTGTAAAGGTCCCCATGTCACATAAAAATTATATTAAATAGACTTGTATGCTTTTTTTTTTTCTTGTAAATCTATCTTTTGTTACAGAGGTCCCAGTCAGTGAGCCTAAAATGGGTGAGGAAAAGAAACTTTTCCTCCCTTACACTTGGCTAATTCAGGATACTGTCTTCTCAAGGTTTTTAACTACAGCTGCAAAGTCCCTTTTGCCATGTCAGGTAACACAATCACAGGTTTAGGGGACATCTTTGGGGGACACATCATTCTGTCCACCACAAATGGGAGTTGTTATTATCCACAGGCCTGAAGGGGCGGGAAAGGGAACTATTTCTAGAACCCAGAGAGCAGTATGATGATGGGGAGGTGGTGGGAGGCCCATTGGTGGTGGTAATAAATGCCAGAATTCAATCTCTTCTTACTTTGTAGAGTCTTTTTTTTTCAAGATGGACTGACTGAAAGTAGATGCTGCACAGGAGCCCATCTGAAGGTTCAGACACTGTATTGTAACACAATGAAGGAAGTCGATGTCCAGACTCTAAAGCCAAGTCTCTGGGCTCAAATCCTAGTGCTACCATTTACCGGCTGGGTGACCCTGGGAAAATTATTTCATCTCTCAGTATCCCCATTGCAAAATACAGATGATGACACGAATATCTAATTCATAGAGTGGTTGTGAGCATTTAATGAATTGGCATTCATGAAGCACTTAACACAGCTAATAGTAAGTGCTATTGTTATTATTCTTCAGAGAGATTGAAGTGGATTTCAGGGAGAACTCTCTCCATGCTGCAGACAGAGAAAACAAAAATGGTTTAAGAGTAGAAGTTACAAAGTCAAACACTCTGAACCACAGGTCCTGATTTTCAGACAACCTGTTTCTCATATTGGGCAAGTCTGTGTGGACTCCCTCCAAAGTGCAGAGCAAGCAGGATTTACATATTTAACAAGCACATCTGGAAAGGCCGGTTAGTGCTCAAAACATACCTGTCAAATCGCATCAAAGCAACAGCTCTGATGGATTTAAAATATGTCCTCAAAAGACAAGATGGTATGTAACTTTGGAAAGTAAATCATAAAAGGCATTGTGGTGTCCTTCTTGGTCCTTTTCTTGGATAATTTACTACAGCAAAAATGAACTGCCACATCATAAGGACACTTAAGAAGCCTAGGGAGAGACCCAGGTCATGAGGAACTGAGGCCTCCTGCCAATAGCCATGTGAGTGAGCCATCTTGAAAGTAGGTCTTCCAGTCCCAGTCAAGCCCTCAGATGACTGCAGCCCCTGTTGACCCTCCTGACAGCAACATCATGAGAGACCCTGAGCCAGAATCACCAGCTAAGCAGCTCCCAGATTCCTCAACCACAGAAATTGTGAGATAATAAAGGTTTGTTGTACTAAATCACTAGGTTTGGGGGTAATTTGTTACACAGCAAGAGAGAACAAAGAGAAGCTCTTTTGTTGATAAGCTATCAAATAACCTGTCTACCCCTTTTACCAGTATCATCTTAACACTTGTTTCAACATCATGCATATGTGCCTGATTCCACGCATTGGGCAGTGAACTTGAATCCTTTAGGGTTTGTAAAGGCATTCTCAACGTGTGCACGTGTACCTCTAGAGAACCGTGGGTATATCTTAGGGGTCCTCTTTGCACGCCCTGTCTCGGATATGGAAGATAATTATTTAGATGGTGCTGGGGTAGTGTGCCCTGTTACTATGGGTGCCCATCAAACCTTTTGTCGTTTTTAAGGATCTTATCAAAGCCTTAAGAAAATTTTTCTAATTCATTTGTAAATAAAATCGTAATTTAATAGGGCCTGTCATTCTCTGGTAATGTCTCACACAAATAAACACACAGACTTAGCAAGCACTAAAGTTCATTCACTTAGCATTAAGTAATTATTAATAAAGTTAATTAATAATGAATGTGCCAGCCTGTTGTCTTTACAAAACCAAAAAGACATAATCCCTGCCCCCATGATCCCACACTATAATCACATAACATAGTTATGTAGGAAGTGCAGTGGAGAGGCAGCCCAAGACTCCTGCAGAAGAGTAGGGAGACTGCATGGGCATTAAAGAGAGCATGTTAGCACTGAGACCTGACTTTCACTTTCAAAAAGGATCTTTGCAGCAGCCCCAGCGCCCCTATTCTTTGGTGGAAAATCAGAAGGAAAAGGAGCATGATGTTTCTGATCAGCAGTATTAGCCAATGCCTAGTGGAGGGTTCAAGGTCAACAAAAGCACCAAATAATATCTACCATAATCCAAGAAGTCCACAGTAGCCCTGAACACCCGCTTGGTTCTTGTGAAAGGCTGTTGAGTGCTCAGTGATGGGCAGGGTCACAGCAAACATTGCTTTTCCTCGGCCAGCTTTGTTCCAGGTCGGTCTGAAAGGTACACAACACTGCCCGAGCTCAGAGGCCGGCAGAACTCACAGAACAGGTGGAATTATGTACCAGAAAGAGACTTGAGAGTGTTTATTCACTTGCCAGATTTATTTATCAGGTACGGGATTGAAAGGATTTCCCCACAGGATATGTAGAGATTAGTGTGCAGAGAAAATGCTTTTTCAACAAACGCTTACGCTAATCAGGCCTTGGTTTTCGTATCCAAGCACAACAGTGTTTGCCGCCCTTCCCAGGCATTACTGGTAAGAACAAACACACACAGTGACAAACAAAGAAAGCTGAAATGTGGACACCTGTCTATCACTCTGAAGAGCAGCTGTCACTTTTTAAAAGCCCACAAACATATTTTAATGATATGTTAGATATGTTATATTAGCTCCTTTACGATAAAGCCAGTCTAGGTCTACCTGAGCCTCAAACATTTGAATGAGAAGGGAAAATTTCTCTCATTCAGTACTTTGTCTACTTGGAGCCAATGATCAGATCGAATGATTTCCAGAAGCTTCTCAAGCCCACGCTAGGTCTAAGGAATGCATTCATTAAGAATCTATCGCATCTAAGCTTAAAAATGCAGCTGAATGTTTATGGGTCTCCTGAAGGGCAAGTTGAGAATGAGGACAAGGCCACTCCAGCAAGCTTCTTATATAACCGCCCTCTTTCGCTGTGTCTATAGAGAGGCCAAAGCATCCAGATGAAAAGTGAAAAAGTCATCCCTCATCTGGTCTGGCTGATGCCGAACATCTGGATGTTATATAATAAGCCATTGGGGTCGTTTTTCTTGCTCTCTTTTAAAAGTAAGCCTAACAATTAAATCTGGATTTTAAACTCTAAATTTCATCTATTTTTCATAAGCTCTTTGAGCGGGCTGGTCTTGATTATTCTCCTCCATTAAAAACTGTACAGGAATGCTCAGAGAGGAAACTGCTCAAATAGAGCTAACAGCCACAAAGGTAATCTCTGACCCTTCCTACGAGTCTTCAGATTTCCATTCATCATGAGTAAAGGGCCTTACCACAGCGAGGAAAATACCGACATGCGAAATGTTCATAGGCATCCGTGACCTCACTTTGAAAAACACTCACTTCTGCACAGTGGCTCAGTTTTACACAAAAGTGAATCATACCAACAACTCAAGCAATTCCTTTCTGTTCAGTTCCTTACAATTTTTCAAAGCTCCTTGAAACAGGACAATGGACTAGAAAGTGCTCTCAGGCCACACCTGACCATAAAGTCACCAAGTTCTTGGTCAAACACAATGCATACTCGTGAGGAGTGAGCCTCGTGGCTCTCTCCGTACCATGCGTTCTTCTCATTGAACCCCGCTCCAGGACCGGCGGCAGCCTCCTTTAATTTATCAGGAGCTGGTATGCCTTTCTCTGCTCACTGGAGTCTATTTTCACTTCCCTTGCTACTTTCTTTTGCACCTCTTGGTTACTCCTATAGCTAACTTCCAGCCATCCAGTCCCTGCTAAAGAAACAAGCACAGAAGCAAAAAACAATGAAACACCATGTTTCAGTCACGGTAGTGGCAGCATTTTGTCTTAAAGGAAGGTAATATCTCCACATTATTGTGGGAAAATTGGGGCTTAAGAAGATTAAGTAACTTGCCTTCCATGTGGCTGAGTTGAGATTTGAATTCGGATCTGTTGTCAGAAATGGCAGTGTCAAACAACAGATAGGCGCTTGGCTTTTGAAGTCAACACACGTGGGTGCGAACTTGAGCTCTGGTGCTTAACTGTGGAACTGAGCGAATTGTTAAACTTCTCTAAAGCTCACTTTCCCCATCTGTAAAATGGAGATAATGACAATAGTGTCTCCATTGGGTTTTGTGATCATAAAAGGATTGTAGAGTACTTGGTTTAGTGACTGGCATGCTAGCTTTCATCATCATCATTATTATCTACTAGATTTCCTATGTTTCATTCCGTGACACAACTTGAACAAGAACACTCTTGTCTTTTGCTATTAGGTTTTTAAACAAATGCCCTAGTTATTCCACATTCAGCTGCAACTAACAAAAACCCAGTGAAGAATTGCTTAAACCATCAGGATTTTTATCGTTTACTCAACAAACAGTTTGAAAGTAGATGGTCCAAAGGTAGATTTGGTAACTGAATGATGCCATCAAGGAATCAGGCTCTCATGTATTATCCCTCATGATCATCAGATGGCTGCCACAGCTCCAGACAGCACATCCTCATATGACAGAATGGAAGAGAGGAGACAAAAAGAACGTTCTCCTCGTGTTCCTCTCTCTTATCAGGGAGGGAAATATTTCTCAGACGCTTCCATCAGAATTTACCTTACCTTTCCTTGGTCAAAAATGGTTATATGACTACCCCCAATCTCAGCAAAGGAGAATGGATTGCCATGGTTGCCTTAGACCAGGGGTCTTCAAACTTTTTCTGCAAAGGGCCAGATAGCAAAGAATTTAGGAGGCCATACAGTCTCTCTCACTACCACCCAACCCTGCTGCTATAGCACAAAAGTAGCCACAGGTGCTAAGGAAGCAAATGAACATGTCTGGGTTCCAACAAAACTTTATTTACCAAAAGAGTTAGCTGCTGGGTTTGGCCAATCCTTGCCTTAGGTCAGTCACCACGTCACTGAGTACTTGGCTGCCCTAACTAAAGTTGGATTCTATTAGCAAAGAAGAAAGAGGAATGGCTATGTGTAGAGCCTGCCACAGGGACGGTGGCTCCAAAACACTCCCGGGAGAGTTGAGATGTGACACTGTGAGAACCAGATACTGATGGAGGACTGTCAGGAAGCCAGGGGCTACATGTGGACAGACAGACAAAAGGAACTTGCCATCCAGTGTTTCCCAGCGTCCACACCAGTGGTTCAAATTGCTTTGGAAGAGCCCCAGGATTCCTCAGAGGTCCCTGGCTTGTGTGTATGGGGAACCACATGGAGGAAGTCATACCCGGGTCCCTCCCCCATGATTTTAACCAGAGCCCTTTTGCTTTTATCTGCTTTACAAATGGTGTTCCTATATATGGTTTGGGGAATTTTGAGGCAGGGAAGAGGGAGCAGGGGAAAATCTTAATGATAATAAAAATTGAAACCACTAGCATAGAGGATTAGCATCTAATCTGCCATAAAACATCCCTTTCTAATCTATCTCCCATGATCCCACTAAGTAACCTCTGCCCCCGTGAGATGCTCTAGCCAAGTAGGCCGAGTGTTCCTCACGTTACTCCAGCATTGCACCTTCTCTTCAGCCTTGGACCTCAGCTCATCTGCATGGCTGGAATCACCCTCTTCATTCTGCTTGGATAGAAAGTTTCCCCAATTTTTGCCAGTCTAATGAAAACATACTTATTTTGTACTTATTATGTACAAGTCGCCAAGTTGTAAAAAGGAATGAGAAACATAAAAGATACAGTCCAGGCTACGCACTTTGGGAGGCTGAGGCAGGCGGATTGCTTGAGCCCAGGAGTTTAAGAACAGCCTGGGCAACATGGTGAGATCCCATCTATACAAAGAAATAACAAAAATTAGCCAGCCGTGGTGGTGTATGCCTGTAGTCCGGCTCCTGGGGAGGCTAAGATGGGAGAATTGGTTGAGCCAAGGAGGTCGAGGCTGCAGTGAGCTGTAATCCCACCACTGCACTCCAGCCTGGGTGACAGAGCGAGACCCTGTCTCAAAAAAAAAAAAAAAAAGAAAAGAAAAGAAAAAGAAGATACAGTCTCCTTCCTCACAATTTCGTAATCTAGTTGTACAGAAAGAACATAAATAAATGAAAGCTGAGTACAATGATGAGCATGATTAGAAAAATCGATTAAAAATAAAAAGAACAGATACTTGCAAATGAGTTTTACCCTGCATAGATCCCTTGGAATACATGCTTTCCAGTAAGGCTGCCAAGACACACTTTTTGGGGGACTTTTTTTGGGAATTACATTTAGTTCCATCTTTTAAGCCATAGAAGAAAAGCAGTCTCATTCAGTTAGAGTGCATCCTATTTCATTTTACCAAAAATGGTTTCTCAAAGCTTGATTGCTGGCTTTTTCACTGGACTCCAAGTGGTGTCTGGATGGCTCCAAACATCCTATCCACCATCAAAAGAGCAGTTTCCAGGATCGAACATATTTAACAGATGTGCTGCAGGTTCTGAACATGATTCCACAAAAGATGCCCCCACTGTCTAAGAGGACGGCCACTCTGCAGCCACGACTGCGCCCCTGAAAGCACAGGACAGTAGGGGAGGCTCCTTCAGCTGACACAGCCAAGGATGCTTCTGAGCTGGGGAGGTTGGAGTTAGGGCTTGAAGTCAGGCGAGGTTTGGTTAAGAATGGAAATAAGGATTCAGCGATGGGGAAGCATTTCAATTCCACAACTAGACACTGAAGCCTGGATTCAAATCCCAGTTTTGCCATTTACCAGTTGTGGACCTTGATGAATTTCTTAACCTCTCTGGCCTTCAGCCTCCTCAATTATGCAATGGGAATTATAAGAGTTGGTGAAGCACACAAACCTAATTAATAAGTTAAGAGATGTAAGACACTAAATGTGATGTCAATGTTTGCTATTATCCGTATTTTTATATTATCCCCTATGGCAGAATGAAATCTCATTGACCGGCTTTCCTGGTTAATCTCATAAACTGTCTCATTTTTCAACTATTACAAAATATAGTCCAATCAAACTGAGAAACGTGACCACCTCATTCAAATCAGTACTTCTCTCCTCCTTCCAACACCTGGAGGCTGGCTTAGGTCTGGAAGCATGTGGCTGGGACGGGGACCCAGTCAGTGTTTGTTCCTGCTTCCTGGATCCCCCACCTTCTCCAATCACTGGGTGATTCTGGAGGCTGGAAAGTCCAAGGTCAAGGTGCTAGCAGATTCAGTGTCTGAGGAGGGCCTGTTCTTCACAGATGGCACCTTCCACAGGTTCTCTCATGGTGGAAGAGGCAAGGCAGCTTCCTTCGATCTCTTTTATAAAAGCACTAATCTCATTCATGAGGGCTCCACCTTCATGACTTCATCGCTTTCCAGAAGTCCCACCTCTTAATACTGTCATATTGGGTATTAGCGTTCACAAACAAATTCTGGGGGGACATCAACATTCAGGCCATAGCAGGTTTCTCAGGGCCCAAAGAACAAAGCTCTTCAAGGAGGATTCAGCTGCATTTGGGGTTGGTGCCCTTGGGAGTGGCAGATGTGCACATGCTGGCTCTTCTGCGGATGCTTTTCTGGGTTTTCTCAATCCTCTTCCCCTGTTGTTGCCAGTTCACCAGCTGCAGCTCTGGGACATGGGTAGCCCCTGTTAGCTGGCACTCACTCGTCACCCTCAGGTCCTGGCATGTGCTGCTCACCTCGCCCCTGTGGGGGGATGTGGGTCCACCCTGCCTCTAGGGAGACTTAGTGCATGTATAACTCACTGGCTCTTGGAAGAAGAGGTGGCTCCAAATACCTCCTTCTCTCGCCACTGCAAACAGCCGTCTGCTTTGCAGGTTGCATCTGTCCTTACACCTCCCAAACTCCAGGAGACACCTAAAGCTCTTCAGGGAGTTCTCTGGAGCCCAAGTCATTTATCTTGAGGTAGGTGGAGAAGCAAAACATATAGACACCTCTCTAAAAAGAAAGACCCACTGCTGGCCTCTCCTGCATCCTTAGCCTCCTATCGTATCACCCCAAGGCGAGGCTGGTGTCGGTCCCTTAACAACACCCCAGAGAGGGTCTATACCTCACTTGAGAATGGGGGTGGGAGTTGTTTGACCCATATATTGTTCTGTGTTGGGGTCTCAGCAGAAATTCCAGCAGTCACGAACACAGAGTCCCTTTGAGTGTCCTGTTAGGGGCTGGAGTAGGCTGGGGGCATCTTTGGATATTACCTGGAGGGCAGCCCAGTGTGAAAGGCCTGACTACCAGGGAATGGAATCCGGGCTTCGTGGTGTAGACAATGGGCAGGCAAGGTGTGTTTCTCTTTCCTTTTCACATGTAGGTAAGTGCAGCCCCAGTTGCTGGACTTGCCTTCACATCCACGGACCTGCCCTTTCCCAGGGTCAGCTGGGTTCAAAGGGCTCTCAGAACGTTTTCTTTAAAGGAAAAATGGAGAGTGGCAAACGCGTGCCTAGGTGGGAGCAGGGAGTAGAGGGGGGCGGTTTAGATAGCAGTAAGGGGACATCAGACCAGCTACAAGCCAACAAGGAAAAAAGTGACGTAAGGAAAAAAATCCCAGGGAGCAGAGAGAAAAGTAGACTCCCCAATGCCTCGCAGTAAATGAGGACGCCTGGCGCCTGCGGCGAGGTCAACTGAGGTCAGACGAGCTTATCTCTCCTGTCCCGGGAATTAAGGGCATCCTGGGGACAGCTGCAGAGCAGGAGGCTCCCCGTGCCCTCCTCTTCCTAAGCAAGTCAGGATCCCAAGAGGCGCGTGCGGGGAGGCCCCTCCGAAGGGCTGCTGGCTTGTGTCTTCCACCAGCGCAAAGGGAAGCTATCGGTTGCTTCTGCAGTGAGGCAAGCTCAGCCGGACGCCCAGAAGAGAGACGAGGTGTCGCTGTCGGGGTGTCTGCCTGCCTCTTTAGGATCAATTATTAGCGTACAGATCCTAAAACAAAACAAAACAAAACACTCCTGAAAACATCGACTTGCCTCAGTGACAGGCCCCAAGTTCGGGACGCCAGGAGACGCCAGCGGGGCTGTGAAGTGCAAATCGCCCCGAGGCAACCCGAGAACGGGAGGACTGTCACCAGCCCGCCAGGAGAGTGCGATGCCCCGGTCCGTTCCGGAGCAGGGAAACTTTTGCGGGAGGCTGCGCTGGCACCGGCCGCCTGGCGCGGCTCGCGCGGACCCGGGCGACGGGACACGCAGCGCGGCACTGCCACCTTGTGGGCATCGGCGGCAGCGGCGCGGCGGGGCGAAGCCGGCGAGGCGAGCGACCCGCGGCTCGGAGCCCGACGCCGGCCAGCGAACGCCCGCAGGAACGCGCCGGCCGAGCGGGAGCCCGCGGGGGCGGGGCGCGCGGCTCCGGTCACGTGGGTTAGCAACAGGCAGCAGCCAATGAGAACGCGAGTCAGGTGGTGCGTGCGCCCGCCGCGCGCGGGAGGTAAGGGGCCCGGGAGGAGGCGTGGGCGCGCCACGGGCCCGGTGGGACCGCGGGTGGGGAAGTCCAGAAAGCTTGCTCTTCCCTGTCAGGAGCCGCCTGCCGCAGGCGGGATGAACGAGAGCTGTAAAATGGGACTGTCCCATTCCCACGCTCCACGGCTGCGACCCCTGTACGGGGCAGTGGGCGGCGGCGCGGGTAGGAAGCAGGCGGGGAGCGACGCGGAGAGCCCGATTTGTCCCTCCTCCAGCCACTTGTTGCTTATCCATGGGCCTGGGACTGCCATTTGGATCCACACAGGGGAATTAAAACAAAAAGAATAATGAGGCTCCTGGCCGTGGCGGGGTGCGCATTGGCCCTCTTGCCCTGCGTGTAGCAGGTGGAGGAGACAGGCTCCATCCTTAGAGCTTCCCAGAGCCCAGGGTTGGCCTGAAGACACCAAAGCAGAGGACAGCCAGGAATTGGGTCAGAAAGAAAAAGCTTCGTTGGTTTTAATTATTTTAAATAGAAAAGCCACATCCAAAAGTACCAATAATGATTTTTACAGTAAACCCACTATGTTGACATAAACCAGCCCACCCCTGAACGCACAGAAGACCGTAGCACAAACCGTGAGAGGCGTATTGAAGGACTGGGGCAAAATCAGGACCGACAGGCAAGCGTGGTTTCCATCAGGGTCTTACTCCTCTGGCTTCCTAGTTTAGGCAGATTTCACCCTGTTAATAGGGTCCGTGGATCGGTCTCTCTTTCTCTCCTCTCTCTCTAGCTCTCTATCTCTCTCCCTTTCCACCTCGTGTTTCATTCCTTTGAAACAAATCCAGGGAGCAGATGGCCTCAGAAGGGTATCTAATCCATGCCTGGCCTCGAGGCACGTACTATAAGCTGTGATACCGTGCTAAGGTGTTATTATAGAGACAAAAATATCTCAGACTGCAGGATCTAGCCATCCTATTCTTAAAGTTCCCTAGGGAAAGATGTTGTACAATATTCTTTGATAACCTACTACAAATGCTAACCACTTTAAGTACAATATAAGAACCTTCTGATCCTAGGTTTTATTTGTTTCTATTTAAACTCATTCAGGGTCAGGCTACCCAGAGGGCAGTTGAACACCTGTCCGGTGGCTTATGGGAATGCCTTGCACGATGTGCACTTCCCTCCACCAGGATCAGTGTGTCTGCTGACACTGGGGACCATGCCTGAGACATAGGTACAATTGGGCTGTGCCAGGGCAGCTCAGAGAAAGTGATCCACTCTGATTCAGACCCTGCCAGCTGAGTTACTTACTTCCCTTACTTCCTTTTTTTTGAGATGGAGTTTCGCTCTTTTTGCTCAGGTTGGAGTGCAATGGTGCAATCTTGGCCTACTGCAACCTCCGCCTCCCAGGTTCAAGTGCTTCTCCTGCCTCAGCCTCCCGAGTAGCTGGGATTACAGGTGCCCACCAGCATGCCTGGCTAATTTTGTATTTTCAGTAGAGACGAAGTTTCACCATGTTGGCCAAGCTGGTCTTGAACTCGGATCTCCAGTAATCTACCCGCCTCCGTCTCCCAAAGTGCTGGGATTACAGGCATGAGCCACCGCACCCGGCCACTTGCTTCTTTTAGAGAGCAGGCTTTGTGCACCTACCAGTGTTGAAATACACTACCTTAATGGTTATGCTTCTCCAAATTTGATATAGTATTTGATTTTTAAATGTACCATACTCTTGAGTTCCTGACCAGTACACTGTTTGAAGGATGTCACAAGGACGTGCATTTGAAAGTCTGAATCCACAAATATGTATTGTGCTCTAATTGCCAGGCCTGGGCTTAGATACTGGGGATACAGCATTGCAGCAGGGAATTTGCAGAATGAAATGGAACCGTGAAGAAAGGAAATGAAAATAAATCACCCTGTTTCCATAGTCACCTCCCCCACACTAGTGGACTATTCTCTCTTAATCGGCTCCCTCAAACTCCTGCCTCTAGGACCTTCATTCTCTCTGACTTCTTTGATCATGGAGCAGTAAGATCACCATATGTTGGATATTGTTAAATAACATGATATGTTGGGAAAAGTCATGCACTAGGAATGAAAAAAAAACATACAGCTAGCTTCAGCCCTGGCTCTGCCACTTGACAAAATCCATAACTTTCTACAAAACTTTAAGATCTGAATCTTGGAATCTTAGTTTCCTAATCCCTAGAATGGAATAAAGAGTCTTACTTGGCAACTCCACAGGTTCAAGATTCCAGGCCTCAGTTTTCTCATCTGTAAATTGAGGGGTTTGACCTAGATTTACAGCTTGCAAATTTTCCTTAGAAGTGATTCCCCATTTATAACAAAATCCAACATAAAACCCCAACATATAAAACAGATAAAGACAGACTTGCTTTAATGGCCCTGAGGCAGAAAGCTCTGAGTCCTATATACTCTCTTCTCCTACCTTTTAAAGGCCTTGAGGCATCTGTGCAGAACCCTGGGGTTTCACTGAACACAGTTGGAAACTCACTGTGCTAGGTGATTGTTTTAAAGTACCTTCCATTTCTAAAATTCTATAAATCAAAATTTCCTAACATTGTATATTTCTATGATGAGATTTAACCCGTTTTCTTTCTTCATTTATTTAATTATGTTATAGGAGATAGTCGCAAGCTAAAACCAAAATATCTTTCATCACTCCCTCCCTATTTGTAAAGCCAATCTCTCTGCCACAGGGAGGAAAAAAGATGTTGATGGAACACGTATGGTGTAATGAGAAAAACACAATGGGGATGAGAAGATATTAGTTCCAACCTTGGTCCTGCTTTTAACTAGTTCCATAACTAGTTAGCTTGATCAAGGAATCTTATTAACCTACCTAAATCCAGAAAATTAAGAGGTTGGGTGACTTAGTAATCACAGTCATGCACATGAGCATTGCGGGAGCCTGTGCCCTCATGGCCTTCCTTAAATAATTCAATTCCAACTCAGCCTACAGGCTGACTTGCTTTATCAACCTTTCTTCAATATATATATCCTCACCCCAGAGGGAATGAAGGGTGAGAAGACAAATTAGGTTGTAAGTGACACCACCAGGACATCAAAATAGAAATATCAACTCAATCATTGTTATGTTTGCACAGATGGTTCAAGCCCACAGCACGCCTTGACCCCAGCTCACCACGCAGGAGGCACATCTCCATTAAGACAGGGTTCATGCAATATACACGTTCATAAGGGCAAACTACAAAATCTTAAAAACCCCAGAGTTTGGAGAATGTTTAAAGGAAACAGTCTGGGTTAAGGACCCAGGACCTGGGGTTCAACCAAAAGGAATGACCCCACAAAGGACAAACAGTATGATTCATTGCCTCTGAGTGTGCACATCCTGGGAAAAGGCAACTTTAGGGGTGGACACAAGAACAACAGCTCTGGTCATGGCTGTGACTTGGTTATAAGTTAACTTTATGGGTCACTGAGTGTCTGGAAACAAACTATAAAAAGAAGAAAGGGTGGCCCAGGCAGCTTTCTGTTGGAAATGGCTGTGACCAGTTGCTTCTGGAAGGGAGATGTATTGACTGCAATAAAACTTGATAGGCTCAGCACTTGTCTGTTAAGGCTAGAATCGGAAGTCAACTTTGGACCTGAGTAATTGGTATAAATTTGTGTATAAGGGCAAGACAGAAGGGATTTTATTCCAAGTGGTCAACAATATGGTGTCCAGCTGCTGCATATGATCTGCCTTCTCTCTGACCTCTAATCCCACGAGACTATCTGCATCATCTGGGGTAATCCTAATATCCAAGCAAGTGGATACACTTTCACTGTCACCACACTGGCTTTTGTTTTTTCCTTTAATCTTTGCTGTTCTTAGGAATAGCAGAACATTTAAGGTAAAAATAAATAAATACATCATAGAGACTTGCTATTCTTAACTATGTCTGTTCTTGGGAAAACAAATTGTACACAATGTTAACTTCTAGTCAATCATCCTCTTTAACTTTAGTGTCATTCGGTTAGCCGACAATTATTAAGCACACACTTGCACATATCCAGTGTCATAGAGTCCAAAGTTGTAGGCAATAAATATAAAACAAGATTATGCCAGAAATGCTTCAAAAAATACACATCATGTTTTATACTTAATTATTTTTCAAGCTTGGTGGCGGGAAGTTCGGGGTGGGGGTGGTGCATTGTAAGTTGTACTCAAAGTATGATGTAGAAAAGCCTTGAGCTGAGTTTCAGAGGCCAAGAAGCTCATTTTAAATATCATTATCTATAGCTGTGTGGCAGCTGAACAGAACATCACATTTCTGAGGCCCAGTTTTTTCATCTGAAAGACAAACGAGGTCGAACTGGGTCATAGTCCATATCACAAAGCTTAACAATAATAGTAGCCAATATTTTTTGAGACAAGCACTTTGCTTTATCAGTTACTCCTCATAAGAACCCTATGATGTATGCATTACTATTTCCCCCATTTTTCAGATAAGGAAACTGGGTTTTGAAACTTAACCAAGGTCACACAGTGAGTAAGTGGCAAATCTGACATTTAAACCTAGTCTTTCCCAGCTCCCAAGTTGCGCCCAACTGTTTCACAATACTGAACTGCCTGAGAGTTTATCTAGGAAGAAGATAAGATTTTTTTTACTTATTCAGGTTTTCACCTTGACTCCCTTAGAGCTGCAAATAGAAGTCATCCCTCCATTGGCTAGCACAATGGGATCTTCAGAGACTCTCTCATACGTGGATGCTGAAGGAAAAGAAGGTGGAAATGGCTACCTGGGGAGAAAGGAGGTAGCTTCAGGGAACACTGTGCCCACTCCTATAAGGTCTGAGTAGGAGACTAGACTTTTGCTTAGTGACTGTGCCCCAGAATTCTAGATCTACAAGGAAATGGGCACCCAGAAATGACAGGTAGGAGGGATAAGGGGAAACCAATGATGCCTGGCCAAGACCTTTCTGTCACTTCTTCTCATAGACCCCTTAGACCAAGCCTGGCTTCTGAATTTCCCACAGCTGTTGAATCAACACAGGGCCAGGTATGTACCTGAGTATAGATAGGAAATAGCAGCTGAACCCTGCTGAGGAAGCTGGGGTGTCCAGAACAGTGGATGACGTGGCCCGATTTGATTTCTGGTCCCCCACACCTGAAGTCACTGCTGCTGCATGGATGCCTGCAGAGTGCTCACGAGCTCCAACAGACAAAACGCTATGTAGGGCTTACATGCTGAGTGACCAGAGACTCGGAGCCTCTGGAATGAAAGGATCCCATTAATGCAAATAGGATCTAAAGATAGTATCTCCATAGATACTCTGTAGTCCATAGTCCCAAAGGAATGTTTTGGCTTCCACAAAAAAAATAGCACTTTATACGGAGAGGGACAATGTGGAGCCAAAGACAGATTACACAGAGTCCCTGCTCTTGGAAAAACTCAGTATCTCTTGGGGTACACCAGGGCACCCCTTTGGGACTGCTTGGGTTAGTCTAGTTATCCCAAGACAAGAAAAAAAGTACATGAGAGATATGTGTGACTGTTTTATAAAAATACACACGTTATTGACATATACTTAATGGATTAAATAGAAAATAATCAGTTGAGGAATGACAACTTCAAGAAATTTCACATTTTGTCTTGAAAATACTGGAGGTGTTGGCTGGGCGTGGTGGCTCATGGCTCTAATCCCAGCACTTTGGGAGGCCGAGGCGGGTGGATCACCTGAGGTCAGGAGTTTGAGACCAGCCTGGCCAACATGGTGAAACCCTGTCTCTATGAAAACACAAAAATTAGCTGGGCATGGTGGCATGCGCCTGTAGTCCCAGCTACTAGGAAGGCTGAGGTGGGAGGAATGCTTGAACCGGGGAGGCAGAGGTTGCCACTGCACTCCAGCCTGGGTGACACAGACTACGTCGCAAAAAAAAAAAGAAAGGAAAAGAAAATACTGGAGCTGTCAGGAACAATAAAAATAATCTTATCCGTTATCGAGAAAAAGGAAGCAATTATGCGTATTCTCAAAAATAACAGTCAGAAGAGTTAATTCTCCATGTCTGGTCTATATTAGATTAATCTTGAATTGTATTTCAGATGTAAATTACTCTTCCTCCAATAAATTCAATTTTACGGATATAGGTGTACTTCTCTTCCAATCTATTTTTGATTGCTTGAAAACTGCCCCACATTTTGCTGACCACACATAGATACTATGAACCCCTTTGTCAGCTGCCTGAGGTGATCATCACCATTTGGGGACTCCCGCTTGAGGAATGAGTGACTGCTCCAGTGGAAAGAGGTCTGACTTAGACACTCCAAGACCAAGAATTGAGTCTAGCTCCGCCCCTAACTAGATGTGAACTTATAGACAAATTACATGGCCTCTCTAGTTCTGCATACAGTAAAGAAACAAAATTAGATTTCTTTTAGCTCTAAAATTCTGTCCTTGCCTAAGTCTGATGAGCAGAAACAGGGGTTCCTTTTGCATGAAAACACTGGGCCTACTGGGAGGAATGGTAAAAGGACTCTGGGGACTGGAGATGGAGCCAGGGACTCTGGAATCAAGCACACAAACAAATGCCAGGGGCAAAGACTACCCCCCAATTCCCAGGAAATTCCCTGGATGGATTTCAGACAGAAGGAGACATTCCTGCTTTTATCCTGGAGCACACATTGGGGACTGAGACAGCTGGACAGTTTGGGGTGAGACATTGGATAGACCTGTTTGTTGTCCTCTGAGTCAGCCAAGGATACTTTCATCCAGGGACAGGACAGTTGTGTTTTGCTTGTTTGTTCATTTTTTAATGCAGGAAGAGTGAGACTACCCTTTGAGGAGCTCAATAAAGAAAGATACATATGGTGAAAAATACCCATCTCCCATCCCAGTGGCCGTAGAAGCTACTTGCTGGGTTCTTGCACTCCCATTGGCTATGATAGGAGCAGAGAGTCAACATGTGCGCCAACAGCAATGTCTGATCCCTTGGAAGATCTGTGTTGAGAAGTAAGGTAGTAGCAGCAACAGAAGCAACTGCAACCAAAGAGATGGACCCAAGAAAATTTTCACAGTTTCAAAGGCAACATAGGAGTCCTCAAACCAGCTACAGGAAGAGAGGAGATTTGGAAGAGAGGAAAGAGGGGTGCCAGTGACTTGGTGCATGGATGAGTCACACCAATGCTTGTTCTCATTCCCCCTATAATTACTATTTGCGATTCACCTTCCATGGGTTCCTGGGGCCTGGTAGAGAAGGGTTTTTTGCTAAAGCCAGCGTCTCCTCCAGCCACCTATTGGCAGGGCTTTGTCATCCACTGTTGCACTTCCAGCCTGATGTTGACATCTCTTCCACCTTCTAGGACTTGCCTCTGATTTGAACATCCAAGAGAGAAAATTTTTTCTCCCAATTTGAACATGGGTGTCAAGGTGGCTAGAGCCAAGTTTGTTCCCATCACCTGAAGAAAATACCAAGACTTGTAGCCTTTCTATTGCCTATACGACAGATCCATGTACTCAGCAGCTGAAGTGTACAAGGAGATGAAGAATTACTTAAATTCACCCAAAAATGATACTGTGTATGTGCTATTTCTAGTAGCCTCTCTCTTCCTGCAACTTGCTAGGTACTTTGGTATTACTCCATGTGTTTGTAATGACGACATTTCACAAGGGGCAAGAATTTCCACTCTCCAGTATTTATTTTATACATGTCACCCCCTTTCATTTTCAACACAACTAGGCAACAGCATTATCCTAGTTTTACAAAAGTGGAAACGGAGGCCCTGGGAGGTAAAGTGCCTTCCTTAAGCAGGAGAGCTGACAACTACAGCAAGTTCTCCTGATTCCAGGGTCTGTGGCCTCCTTCCACCCGACAGTAGGCAAGAAACCAAGTGATCAAGAAGAAGGCTTATGAGCCGGGCCGCAGACGAAGAGGTGGCAAGTGCAGGCAGTTTACTGCAGCGTCGGAGAGTGACGAGTTGGTGCGTAATGATTTGCCATGTGGACAGACAGGCTAAAACAAGGATATTCTTTGTATCTGAGCATCCTTTGTGTATAAAACATAAACAAGGCAGGTACAGACTTGTTTCTTGGGAAATCCCGTCCTGTCCCTGTGGGCTTCCTTCATCTTCTCATCTTATCCTCACAATGTTCACTCCTTGGAGTCTTCCCGTCCACCAGCGCCTGCCTCATTCAATCCTTGAGCTAATGGGAGCCCAGAAGGATCCTGACAGTGCCATGGGACAAGAAGGAAAAGAGAGAAGGGCAAAGCCACAGCACTCCAGAGGACCCTCTCCCTCTCCCTGTGTGAGGCTCCCATGCAGCGCTCAGGCCCCGCTTCTCTTCTCACCACTCAGCCCCTCAGGGGCTCCGTCATCATGGGGAAAGATGAGCAAGCCTTGCTAAGTTGCATGTTCTTCTCAAGTGCTGGCTTTCTGCATGCCATCCCTGTGAAACAGGAACTTTCTAGAATGTGTCTCACTATCACTAATGGTAAAGTGCTCAGAAAAACGTTCAGACGGAGGGGGTGCTTGTTTCTGGGGCAGGAGGGCAGGGAACAAGCTGCAAGGCTGTTCACTCCAGGCAAGAGACAAAACCCTGGAAAGAAACCAGAGGCTGGGTGAGTGAGGAATCAGGAGGCTGGCGTGAGCTGAAGAGATGGAAGGACAGTGTGTGCGCATACACGTGCACGTGTGTCTGTGTGTATATGAATCTGTATGTGTGTCTGTGCATGTCTGTATGTATGTCTGTTTATGTGTGTCTGTGTGTGTGTCTGTGTGTATGTGTGTCTGTGTGTGTGTTTCCCTCTATGTATATGTGTGTGTGTATCTGTGTGTCTATGTGTTTCTGCATGTCTGTGTCTGCATATCTGTGTGTGTGTATGTGTCTTTGTGTCTGTGTGTCTGTGTGTCTCTGCGTGTGTGGGGTGGAGGGCACTGGAGCAGTGATGGTAAGGGTTAATGGGAGATGATCAAGACTGAGAAATGTTCTGAGCTGGAGGATGGCTTTCAAAATTTCCAAAATGCTTGAAAATTCGAACTGGAATGCTGCTCCTGCCACCTGACTGCATGCCTGACACCCCACGCCCCACAGCTCGGAGCCCCTCTCAGCAAGGGGCCCCACAGCATCCCACAGAGATTCCCACTCAGCTGCCTGTTCAGAGGACTCCTCTGGTCTCTGCCAGTTTCCTGCGAGATGCTTGCACATCCTGAGACCCCACTGCTTCATCAGCAACATGGGAATAATAATACCAATATCCACTGCACAGGACTGGTGTGAAAAATGAATGCATGAACACAGAAAAAAGCACAGTGCCAGACACATGGGAGGGGATCATATGTTTTTGTTTCTGAACACTGAGTGGGTGACAGCCATGTGGCAAGAGGAGGAAAGCGTGGAGTTGGGGGCCAGACAGACTCTGCATCAAGACCTAGTTCTCACCTTTCTCACTGTTTGGCCTTGGGCAAGCCCCTGAATCTCTCTGGACCTCAGTTCCAGCCTTCCTTCCACCATGGCTCCGTTATGAACCCCACCTTCAGCTCCAGGACTAATCCACCTGCAAAACCCAGCCCCCTTGCCCAGGGAGATAGGGAGAAGCCACCAGCCAGGCGGGAGAACACAGATCCAGAATTGAACTCATGACCTCAGCTCGTCTTGCCAATGTGAAGCATGTGACTTCATTTTGCAGGTCAGAAGAGTAAAGCTGTCCATGCCGGCTGGACATGAACAAGGAGGCTGCCATCCTATGCACAGCCCCCTACATGGCTGGTAGCCATCTTGTGATCATGTCAGAAGCCAGGCTTGGGGTGATGTTGACTCTGAGGAGGCCAGAGAGGCAGGTGGAGCCAAACCAGGGGATATTGTGTAGCCACTGGATCCAACCCCTCCTGAAGCCAACCCATCTCTGGCCCTTTCAGTTATAGCAGGCAATTAAAACCCTGTTGTGCATAAGTCAGTCTGAGCATGTTTTCTGTTGGTTGCAAGAAAGATGCTCCCTACTTACCACCTTACACCTTACACTGTGATACGTTGCCAATTTAAGCCAGAGTTTTGGTGATTGTGTCTGTTTCAAGAAGACTATCCTCAGCTCAACTCAGGTCCATCTAAATCATCTCAGAGGAAAATTCAAAGCCCCAAGTCCTTCAAGGTACCCAAGTCTCCCCCTCCTGGTTTCTTTGCTGCCCAGGTGCACAAAGTGTGTCCCAGAGTCTAAAGATAGATGTGGATCAGCTATGGTCTGGATGTTTATGTTCGCCCGAAATTCATGGGTTGAAATCCTAACCCCCAAGGTGAGGTTATTGGGAGGTAGGGACTATGGGATTGTTAGGTCATAATGGCAAGACCTTCGTAAATGGGATTAGTGCCCTTATAAAAGAGGCCTGAGAGACACTCCTCGTCCCTTCCACCATGTGAGCACATGGCAAGAAAGTGCCATGTATGAACCATAAAATAGGCCTTCTCCAGATATTGAATCTGCCAGTACCTTAATCTTGGACTTCTCAGCCTCCAGAACGGTAAGAAATACATTTCTGTTGTTTATAAGCTACTGTATTAGGCCATTCTTGCATTGCTATAAAGAAATCCCTAAGACTAGGTAATTTGTAAAGAAAAGAGGTTTAACTGGCTCATGGTTCTGCAGGCTGTACAGGAAGCATGGCGCTGGCATCTGCCCAGCTTCTGGGGAGGCCTCAGGAAGACTTCAATCATGGCAGAAGGCAAAGAGGGAGCCAACATATCACGTGGCCAAAGAAGGAGCAAGAGAGAGAGAGTTGGGGGAGAAGGAGAAGGGCTACACACTTTTAAATGACCAGATCTTGCAAGAACTCACTCAGTATCATGAGGATGGCACCAAGCCATGAGGGATCTGCCCCTATGACTAATCACCTCCTACCATCAGGGATTACATTTCAACACGAGTTTTAGTGGGGACATATATTCAAACTATATCCACTACGAAGTCTATGGTATTTTGTTACTGCAGCCTGATTGGACTAAGACAGGATCAGAGTCCATTTTCTACTCAGAACCCTCCATAAAACAACAGACGTCACTGTGAATAATATGCTCTTTGTCTCCTCTACCACTGTATTCATTAGCTATTGCTGCATAACAAATTACCCCCCAACATTACCAACTTTAAAGAGTTGGAAATGTATTAAAGTGTTACCTGAGGGATCTAGGAGTGGCTCCTCTAGGTTGTTT
Source organism: Homo sapiens (assembly GCF_000001405.40). NCBI lineage: Eukaryota > Metazoa > Chordata > Mammalia > Primates > Hominidae > Homo > Homo sapiens. The sequence goes on along the minus strand of NC_000006.12, from coordinate 14,199,941 downwards.
TGGCTCAGGGGCTTTCATGGGGCTGCAGTCACCTCGAGACTCACCCAGCGCCAGTGGAGTTCCTTGCAAGATCACTCAGGTAATTGCTGACAGAACTCAGCTCCTTATTGGCTGTTGTCCAGAGTCTTCATCTCCTTGACACATGAGCTTCTCCATAGTTGCTCACAGAAAGAGAGAGAGATCCCAAGAAGAAGCCATACTCTTTTATAACCTAATCTTGAAAGTGACATACAGCCATTCCTGTCATATTCTAATTGGCCACACAAACTAGCCCTGGTACAACGTGGAAGAGAGTTATGTTGTGTGAATACTCGGTGTGAATACCAGGAAACGGGGCCATCTTGAGGGCTGGTGGCTACAACCTCCATGGGGCCTTCCTGGCCCTCACTCTCCTAGTCCAGCCATCTCACTGAGTTTTCCTTCTCTCTCCTCTTCACCCAGTTCTTCCCTCAAAGCAGTGAACTCTCTTCCTTAATCCTTGTCATCTGTCCCTGTCTACGAAGTCTCACCTGCCCCAAGCAGACATTCCCAAAGGCAGTTCTCTCTCCAAAAAAATTATTAGTAACTCTTTTAAGAAATGGAATGTTTTTATCCTGCTCTACTATCTATATATGTATTTATAAATCTATTTATTCTTTCTTGATAATAAAAGGAAAAACTTGAAATAACTGTAAAGCACTGACCATTCCTTAAATCCTTCTCCCAACTTTCCCCACTCTCTACCCAAGACCACGGTGCTCTTTTCCTGTGAGAATTATTCATCCTTGGAAATTCATCCTTGTCGCTGTAACTTCCCGTGCCTCATTCTATCCCAGCCATGTGGAAAGACAGCATGGCTCTTAAATAGGCTGGGTCTAGGGAGCAACACCAGAGAGTAGCTCCTCTTCTATGCCAGGAGATGCAGACATCATGAGCTTCACTCAAACATAAATGGAGGTGGCTGGGCAGAGACAAGCGGTTTTTCTCAGGTGCTGCTTTAGAGGAATAAAGTCCTGAGATAGAGGGGAAGATTAACACAGTAGATCATTGATCCAGGATATTCAAGACCTAATTTTCATGTTTGCATGTATTTAGCCAATATCACTGAACATCCATTAGGTACCAGGCACTATTCCATGGCCCAGGCATACAGCAGGGAACAAAGACATCCAAAATCCCTACCCTCATGGAGCTTATGTTTTAGTAGGTAAAGCCCAGCAATAAATACATAAATATATACTAGGCCAAGAAGAAAAATAAGGCAACCCAAGTAGAATGTCAAGATGATGCACTGTATTAGACCAAGTAGTCAGAGAAGGCCTGATAACCCATTTTTGCTTAACTTTATTTTCAGAATTTAGATCTATTGACTCCAAAGAGTATAATAATTGAACAAAAGGTATTTTACCAGGTAAAGAATGGCACATAATATGTGACATAAAGAATGGTAAGAAATAAAGGAGTTAAAAAGAGTATCCGTTAGAAAATCCTTTATATAATATACACATTATATATCATTGGAATCCACCAAAAAAGTATTAAAAATCATTCTGTATCCCCTGAATACATCTGGATTTACCTTAAAACAAAAATAATATATTACAAATAAAATACAAAACATTTAGTGATGGAAACAGATGAATACATGTCACTTATCAATTCTTTCCTGGAAAATTGGGATGTTCAGTGCACATCCACTTCCTAAAAGATGACCGAAACAAAAAAATCATGTTATAATAAAAAATCTATGAAATTGCTCTTCACTGAGAAATCCTTCTTGATTGCACAGGGAGGAATGGCAAATTCACTTATCCTCAGAAGTTGTTAGTGCATTCAGATAGAAAGGGAAGAGGACACGATAGCTCTTTCACAAAGATCCATCTGTATCATTTTTGGCCCTTGCTATGCTTTTCTTTCCAAATTTCCTATTCAGCTTTTTTTATCTGATGAGTCTATTGCACAGTAGTCAATGACCAATGTCCTGTGAGTTTGCAAGCCTTTCACACGATCAAACGGCCTCTAATGGAGTCATGTGTGGCCACGACCACTCTACCTGACCACACTGAATTGCCATCAGCCTGCTCACCTGTTGGGACAATCACCAGGCACCATGTGCCTTGGCAAACTGTCCTTGGAATTGGCATTTAAGAAAACAAATGGATGAGAGCTTTACATTTCTGTTTGGAATATTCCTATGTTTGGGCATCTACATTAGGAATTGGCTATAATATCATAGTGTTTTATGATTAACAGAGCCATCTCCTCTGCTTTCACTCATTTAATCTTACAACAGCCTGATGAAAAACTGGGAGTTGGAATTGCCAGTCAGTGGCCAAAACCTTTTCCTTTTATGCCTGCCGCCATCCCTAGATGGCATTTCCCAGCATCCCTTGTATGTAGTGGTGGCCATAGGACTGAGCCACTTTCTGGTCTACAGAAACATCCTACAGGAGTTTTCCACACTTCTTCCCCTTCCACAGCAAACCTGTGGAGGTGGACGAGCCACAGATGAAAGGGGCTTCAGTCTCTAAATTACCACAGAGACTGGAGCTACCGGCCAGTTAGGAAGACCCACTCTGAGAAAAGAAAAGAAAAAAAAATGTCTATTGCATCACCCTGTAGATATGTGAGGGTTTTCTGTTGTAAAAACTAATGTTACTTAAGAATGTGTATTTCTCCAGTGTTTCATTATTAACACAACAGTTTCATATACTTTATCTCATGTCAGGAAGCTGGGAGTTAGTATTTTTGTTACACGCCCCCTTCCTTTCAAATTGGGCATACTAGGGCTCAAAGATGCTGAATAATGTATCCAAAGTCACACAGCTGGGAAGAGGTGGAATTTGATGTTTTATTTAGGTCTGGTCAGACCCAACCCTGTGGCCTTTCCACTAGATCATGATAATTTCACAAAAGTTTAGTGATGACACAGGTCTTAATGTTCTAGGTGATTTTGTAGGTATTGTGCAGAGGGAAATAATTAACCAGCATGCATTTGCTATTGGTATTCTTCTGGTTCCAAATTTAGGACTTAAACCATGTTCAGTCACTTGCTCACTGCCTACAGGGCTCCATAAATAGTTTTATGCCATTGTTCTTTGGTAAGATGCCATCTGTCTACTTGACTTTATTGTTCTAAAATCTGATAGAACACTTTAACCCTTTCCTTCTCCCTCACGTTCACAGCAAAGGCTTGCATTCTTTAAAAAAATCATTGGATAAATATTCAGTGTCCTCTAGGTGCAAAGCACTATTTATGATGCTGTGAGAGATATAAAAATAAATAAAACACACAATAGAGTGGTTAAGAAAGTAGACTCGGTTCAACCTTGGAAAGCTGAAAGAAAAAGTAAAAAAGAAGAAAAATTTGAAAGAAAAAAAAAAAGACAGTATACTCTGGAATAAGTGCCTGAATTTAAATACAGTTTCCACTTCTTACTAGCTTTGTGACTTTGGACAAATTATCAATACTTAGCTTCTTTGTTCCTATGTTTCTTGCCCCGTGGAATGGGGATAGTATTGTTAGCGCGGCTGCGAATCTGTACGAATCTGCAGCATCTCAATTCTTGCCTCCTCAGCAGAAAGAATTCGACTGAGGGCCAGAAGGAGAGACTGAGGTTAAGTTTTAGAGCAGGAGTGAAAGTTTATTAAAAAGCTTAGAGCAGAAACAAAAGGAAATAAAGTACACTTGGAAGAGGCCCAAGTGGGCAATGAGAGATCAGGTGCATGGTTTGACCTTTGGAGTTGGAGTTTTCCATGTTGGCATGCTTCCGGGGTCTTGGGTCCTTCTCTCCTGAGTCTTCCCCTGGGGTGGGAAGGGTGGGAAGAATCACAGTGGCCTCTCAGCACTTGTGAGGGGAGCATGTGCAGTGTGTTTACTGGAGTTGCACGCATGTTTACTTGAAGTACTCATCTCTTACTAGTCAAATGTACCTAGGAGGTCATATACTAGTTAAGCGCCGCCATATTGCCTCTTAATGCACATGCTTGAGCCCACTCGCCCAACTCCTGGCATCTTATCGGGAAGCTGCTGATCGCCAGTTTCAGGTGTTTGTGTTTATTGGGAGACTGCCTTTTCCCTGGTGCTGGCTGCGAACAATTATTATTTTAGAGAGACAGTTAACAACCGCCTGACCATCACCTGATGGTTGCCTGACATTTTTGGTGGGGGGGCGGGGAAGCCCTCTCCTGCCCTGCTCATGCCTGACTGGCTACCTCCTGTAACAGTATTAGTGCCTACTCATGATGATGTTTTAAAGATTAAATGAAACAACACATATAAAGCACTTAAAGGGCACTTGGCACCAAGCAAATGCTCAAGAACTGTTAACTTACTCTCAGATAAATGAAAGAGATATACCTAAGTGTTGGCTATGAACAGTTATTGTATCAGTGCCATCCACAAACGCAGACAGTTATGCGCTTCCATTTTCCTCTTACTACCTAAAATTACCAAGATCTTGGTGCAATTTTTCTTAAACCATAAAAATCTCTTTCCTTCATATATCAGTGAATAGTGCATTTTAAAAATTCTCCCATCTTTTCTGTATTCAGGCACTCAGGAAGGAAACACACACTCTTTTTTTTTTTCTATGCCAGGCACTATACTAAGCACTTTACATCTGGGTTTTTGGTTTTGTTTTGTTGTGTTTAATCCTCTCAACAACCTCAATTTCTCATTTGCAGATGAAGACCCCTAGACTTCAGAGAAGATGATATCTAAGTGTCAGAGCTGGGATTCCAAACCAGATCTGTCCAGCTCCGAAGACTGAGCTCATAACCCTTAACACTAATCCCCTCTCTGACCCAGCGCTGTGATTCTAGGCTAGTCTGATTAAAGCCCCAGAATTTCACAACCTTTTAAGAATACAGTCAAGAAAGAAGAGATCATTGTTTCAACCTGCCTCTGAATCGTAGTAAATAACGGGCCCTGATATTAACAAGGCAGCTTCCCTCCTAAGTGCGAAGGACCCTTGAAAAGGGTATCTTAATCATGGGTGTCATATTTTATGATTGTGTCTGTTTGTATTTAGTACACTTGTTATCCTTGATGTTTTCGCCCTGAGGACATCAACTGAACAAAGTTGCATACATCTTTGTGGATTACCCTTTCTGCATCCATAAGTTATCTGCTCTTTTAAAATAATTTGTACTAAAACACCGAGAGTTTTTTCTAATGGGAATAGACAGCTAGTGTTTTTTTAATGCAAATGACTTCTCCCCACATTCTCCCCAGCCCAAAGCTAAATCTGCATCAGCATCGGAGGGGCTCGGTGCTTCTAGAAGCAATTTAGGCACAGCAGTTGGGAATGGCAGTGTGACTTAAAGCCCCTTGCTCCGTATTAGGGAAAGCTACATGCGAATTCCGAAAGAGATTCCATAGGATGAGCAGAGATGTGTTCAGGGCATTTATTATCATACTCGCTGCTCTTGTTTTTAAGAAACCAGCTTCTGTTCAGGTGGTTTTGTTTGTATGCAAAGATTAAACTGTTAAATAAAATCACAAGCACCGTCTATTGTATCACAGAGTTTCATTTTCTCCCGGAGCTGAAACATTTTGGTTTTTTTTTTAACTATGACAGTATTTCTGAACTCTATCTACAGTGAAAATCAAAAAGCCCGATTTTAACTTACACCTTATTCCAGCACTTAAACATATGAAGTTATGAGTTGCTAAGTGTGTACCCTTATTTAGCTACTTCTACCAGAATAAACCAAATCTCAGTTCAGTATAGTAATAGACCTGAATATTTAAATAGAGAAAGAGAAATAAGCCCTGCGCTGAGAAGGAAAGCTTGAGTATTGCCGCCTCTTGGCTAAAAATAAATCTATTTCTATAGATCCTGTTTTTATACAACTATAATCCTTTTTTATATATACAACTGACTTTGGAAGAAAAAATTATATATAGAAAAAAACTATTTTAAGACTAATGAGACGTTTGAGAAATTGGGCTCCGCAGGCAAAAGGCAGCCCACAGAAAGAATTATGCAGGACCTCAACTGTTGTTAGGGTCATAATTAATAATTACAGTTAGTTCTTAAGCAGTAATTGCTACAGTGCCACTTCCAGCAACATTCTGGCCAAAGCACCCCACCCAGCACAGTGGCTCCCGGCCTGCTAGCTGTTGGACAGCACAGCTCCTCTGTGGTGGGAATGGAGACAATTTACCCTGGGAACCCAGACTAGGGGAGATGTTAAATCATTTGCAGACCATTAAATGATCTGCACCCTGGGGGAGCAGGGAGTCCTGGAGCAACTTTCTCATGCATTCCACACCCCAGCCTCCCAGGCATTCCACACTGTCCTCAGTCCACCCTGGGACTCTTCAGCCTCTCCTGTACCCTGCAACCTGTCCTTATAAGACAGGGACCTACCACCTCGGCAGCTGCTCTTTCAACCATCTCCCTCCACTCATTCTAGGCACCTACTAGGAATTTTCCTGGGTTTCTTGATTCTACGCCCTGTCTTTAGCTATCCCATTTAGTGTATTTCAAGGCGTGCTTTGCGGAGTGCCCACGTCGTGATCAAACCATGGCCCAGACCCACTGCATTGGAGCCTCAAGAGGTCCTAGGGAAAGGCGCTTTATAGTTACCTTCCTGCCTTCCCCTGACTCTAATGCACACTGAAGATTGAGATGCACTCTACTCATCAAATGACTCATTTACCTTTCTATCACAGACTGCTCCCCTCTTGCTTTTTCTTCTCAGGCATCACTTTTTCGATAGCTCATTACCATTCCCAAAAAGAACTCTAATAGTCTTTGGTCCTCCCCTAAAAGCCTTCCGTTCTCCTCAGTGTCACTCCCTAAACTCTTTCCCATGGGCAGACTCAAGGGCATTTTAAATTCTACGCTTTCCTTCTCTCCAACTTTAAAAGCAAATGCTTGTATCATTTAAATAATCATTCTTCCATCTCACTGAAATCTCTTCTAGACTCTTGGGCACACTGACAATCAGAGTACAAACCCAGGTTTTCTCCCCTGCTTTCAGGAGGCAGGGACCCTGGGATCAGTCCAGGTGGCTTCCTATCAGGAAGATGGTGCCTGCTACCTCCTCCCAGGCACACCACCACCATACAAGGCTTCAGAGCAGTGGGCCCCAGTCTGTCTCTTCCAGCCATTCCAGGGTGTATCCCCAAAAGGAGGATTGGTGGATTTGTGTTATGAACAGCATATGAGAATGCCAAACATGTGAATGTGCCAATCTGGTATTAACCCCCCACCAGTGTTCCTTTCTGCAGTTACACATGGATTACTGGCAGCCTGAGATCTGTTCCTGGGAGCAAGAGTCATGCTCTTCTGGACTCCTGGAGATAGCCAGTGTGGGATGGACAGATGCTTTCTCTCTGTCGAGTTCCCAGGCAGGGTGCTATCTACAGGTCATGGAGTGGGAGGGTGATCTTGGCTGGTTGGCTCTTCTCAAACCCCTCCAAAGCCCCTTGGGTAAAAGGAGTATTAAAAGTTCAAAGGACAATCGTGAACTTATTAAAAAAACTTTCAGACTGCTCATGAGTTATGAATATTAAAATTAGGATTGTTCCCATTTTCCTCTTTGTTCCCAGGGCAATGGCTCCCCCAGCTGTAAAATAGAGGCAGAGGAAGAGCAGCCTGCATTTAGGCATATAAGGGAGCTCTTGGTGCATTCCAGCTTGTTTCTGGAATTGCGGTATCTACCACCCCAGAGAGATATTTTTTTTTCCATTGTGGAATAAAATCCTTATTATTTTTCATACCAATCCCATGAGATAAGAAAAAGAAGAAGAAAAAGGAAGAAGAAGAGAAGGAAGAGGAGAAGGGATGAAAAGGTTTAGGGTCTGCAATTTGACCCCACATTCTATTTGGGACGAGATGAATTATGGAGGAGATATTTTAAGGTGCTGTTTCTGACCCAAATAGCCAATGGATATCCTTCTTTCTTGCTTCCACTGCTTAAGCAAAAACCAGCTGTGCTCAGCATCTGGAAGAGTGGTTCTGACCTTGTTTTATCCTAGTTGATTCCCACTGGCTTTTATGTTTTCCATAAATGATTGAAGAAAAGTTCTCAGTTGGAAATAGCAATAAAAACTTCCATAAATTCTTGGTGAGCACCAGTTTCAGGCAGCTCATTGGATTCTCACTCTGCACAGTCCCAAATTCTGTGAGACGGACTGTCCAAGATGCAAGGAAGGCCTGGATCCGGTCAAGGAGGAAGCCCAATAGCCCACGTCCACTCCTAGGTCTCACTTCTGGCAGCCACAGAATTCCTAGGGCCTCTTCTCAGCCACAGGTCCCATGTGCCATTCCCTCTAGGTTATTTTTCATCTCTAAAACTGTATTTTCCATCTATTAAGTGAGGATAGCAATAGTATCAACCTCTAGCCACTTAGGACAGCACCTAGCACATTATACAAATGCATTTTGATGATTATCAATCATTTATTTAATTTGTAATCAGGAAAATAAGAAATACTTATTGAGTGACTATGATAGGCATTTTACCTTCTTTGTATTGTTTAATCCTCCAAACAGCCCTACTAGGTAGAAACGATAATTCCATTTTACAGAAGAAAAAAATTGAAAAACATTTTGTGAAATTAAGTAATGGACCCAGGGCCTCTCAGCTTATAAATGGCAATGGAGGGGCTGTGCTAAACCATACCTGTGCTCTTTCCAACACTCAATAGTACCCAGTATTGAGAGCCTACTGTATGTTCTAGGTGCTGGGGGTACAGAAGAGATGACATGGAGAAGCGCCTAAATCTCACGGATAAAAGTACCACTTTGCTATAATTCCTAAATCCTTTAATGATTGGTGGTGAGGTTGTAATGAAAGAGCCGCCATCAGCCGCCTGTCAACTCCCGGGAAGGTGGTTTCCCATCCTCACGCCTCCCTACCCTCTGCTTATGTGAAGTTGCCTGCCTCAGTCTCTGTCACAGCTTTAATACTCTCCCTGCCCTGGGTATTGTAATACTCTCAGCTTCATTTCTATCTGTTGGCAAAACAAGAGCTCTGTTCAGACGAATTGCCTATCAAATTGGCTCAGAAAATTCATGTTTTACTTGGATGTGAACCTTCTCAGAAAGCCTGGCTGGAGGATTACTGCTCCCAAGGGCCCCATGTCTGAAAATTGGAGAGAAAGAAAGACAACACTCAACACGCATTAACAAAAACTGTGAGAAAACCAACCCAAAGTTTACTCGACCCTATCCAGCCTCCAGCTCACGCTGCACATGGCTTGAGCCACCCTTCCTTCAGAGAGGGAGCAAGATTTCAGATCTTCCAACATGTGCCTTCCTATCACATCTCCAGGGGCCCATTTGGCAATTTCAACTTCAACTAATAACGACATAAGGGGATTTTGCAAATTTATAATCTCCAAAATGTACATCAGCCAATATTCTATTTAATTTTTAAACTCCATTTCTTTCATTAAGGAGCTATTTTGGTTCTCAAGGGGGTCACTAGTTTTGTCTCCATTTTGACTAATTTAACACATATTATCAACTACTAGCTAAGGTTGTCTGAGCTGATGGGAAACTTTTAGTTCTGGCTTTACCCAGCCTTTCACCAGAATGAATCTTGTCAACTCCAATCGCATTTAATGGACTTTAAATGTGTTTCCTATGACATTTTCCAAAACCAAAATAAGCGAAAAGTGTTTTGCATTTCCCATAGGGTAGTGCTAACCTCACTACAAAATTTAGGGCCAAATTTTATCCACTTGAGGCTCTTTTAATAACCCAAAGCTATGGTCCTAGCTGAATCAAACCAACATTTATCTATCCCAAATATTTATCTTTCCTTCTACTATTGCCTGATATTGTTTACTTTTTGGTCAAGATAAGATTTTTCCTTCTGCTCTTTAGCAAAAGGGGCCATAGGCTCAGGGACAGACAATTACACTGTCAAAACTGTAAACTCGGTATAAGCTTCTGAAAGTAATGGAATGGAATTGTTTTAAGACCTTTTTTCCCCTAAATGGTTTCTGAGGGGACATAAGGTAAAAGGATAAATGTGAAGGCAGGATGGTTTTCCGTGTGACTGATTAGGAACAGAACATTTGTAAATTAATGCTATTTTTCAAAAACGGTAAATGGGGAATGGGATTGAGAGGTGTCTATTTTGAAATTGTCTTTACAACAGGATTTTGAAACTTTCTATTTCATGGCCAGTGAAATAGTGCATCTCCCATTTCATCGTGAAGCTGAGCAACACTGCAAACCCTGGGAGATGAATACAAAACGTGCTTATCCTGCCTCTCTTTCCTGTTACTTTTTCAACTAATTTTTACAAAAATTTTAACAAATTTTGGAATTTGCCGATGACCTCTTTGGTACCGAACGTGTCTGGTTCTTCTCTTAGTCTAATGCGATGGGAGCAGTGGAAGGGACAGGTATGAAGCCAAACGGGGAGGGAGAAAGAAAAGAGCAATGTCCACAAACATGGGTTTAATCAACCCGGGTTGGAAAGCCAAGGAAAACTTCGTTAGGCCCAGATAGAAATATTTTGTACCTTTCTGCCAGGCACTGTAGTTTATCAGAGGAACCGCGGTTTAGAAATCCACAGGCAAGTGTTATAAATTTGAGAACATAAGTTGGAGCCCTTCCCATTCCAATAAGCAGTTGCAGGTGTGGTTTTTATGAAATTGTATATTTAGGGATGGAGTAGGAGGGAGGGAGAGGAGAGAGTTGCATGTTCTAAGCAAACTGTATTTGCATACACATTATGCATGTACCCAACACACACTTGTGCAAAGATGATTAAATATGTTTCATGTTGGCAGCCTCTTACTGTGTTTCCTTAAAGCAGGAATAGCAAATAGGTTCAACTTGCATGCCAAATCCAATCAATTTGTAGTGGCTGTTTGAAGTGTTATGTTGAGAAGGATTCAGAGGTCATATCTGGTTCATTCAATGAATTTTTATTTTGTGTCTACTATGTTCTATGCACAACGGCAGGGCTACCCCATTTTATGACAGCAGAGGTACATTCCCATAGAGTATAATACAACTGGTGCCTCCTGGAGTGGTACCACCCAGCAACCCTGAGTCTCAGTGAGGCTCTGCGATCCGGGATGGATTTAGGAAGAGTGTAGTGACCGATTAGCAATGTCTGCCAGGGCATCAGACCAGCATGGGAGGGCAGCAGGTTGCTGTATGTTGCAACATTTGTGTCATATATTTGTCAACCCTGGTGAAGAACCATCAACAATATGCCCACTTCACTACATTACAAACTAACGTACTTTGTTCATCTGAACAATCCAGTGTTGTGTCGTGAAAGTGTTAATAATTGGGGCAGGGCAATGCACAAGGTAATAATAAAATGAAAGAATTGTCCTTTAGTATCGTGGAAGCAGAATAATGTTGGTGCTCCGGAATGTTTTGCCATGATTTTTCTCGAAAACCAGGGCATAGTGGAATTCCCTGTACTCTGATTTCTGTCATTTCCCCTCTACTCCCAACTACCTGTTCACTGGATAGCTGTTAGCTGTTCTCACAGAGGCGTCCATTGACAATTCTTGAATCCTTGTGTGGAAGGAACCTCAAGAGGTCTTTGGGGGTCATTCTGCTGCCTTTGGTAGGGCCACATCCCAGAAGGAGGATCTGTTTTTACCTGACAGGATTGCAGTTGAGGAGCCCTTTGGCCAGCCTACTGGCCCCAGGCCACAGTATTTGAGAGAAGTTCCTTCAGATGTGGTAGTTGGCCCATGAAAGAGAGTTAAGACCATGTTAGGATATTCCATTCTTAGCCAGGCATGGTGGCACAAGCATATAGTCTCATCTACTCGAGAGGCTGATGGGAGAGGATTGCTTGAGGCCAGGAATTCAAGACCATCCTGGGCCACATAGTGAGACCCTGTCTCTAAAAAACAAAATTTTAACATAAGAAAAAAAATGAATATTCCACTCTTCTCCCAAATCTTCTATAGGTTACTATAAGGAGTCAAGTGCAAAAATGTCAATTTTAAAGAAAGAAGATATGAATTAAACTTGATGACAGAGTCTCATAACTTGACCTCATTAATTGCTACAAAATACGATCATTTCCTCATCTTTTTCCTATGCCTACTTAAAGGGTGTCGAAATAAACAGGCCTCATAAATTATTAGAAATTCTCTTATTTTGCTTTGATTCATTTTGAGGAGCTTGTTTTATGTTTTATATTTCAGCTGATGCTATTTAGTCATGCAAAAAAATCATTTAGCTATAAAGTCTATTAGGAATTCTTTCTCATGCATGCGTTTAATATGGCACCGTTGAGCACAGCTGTGAACAGACAGACTCTGGAAGTCCTTGTCTAGATGTGGCATCCTCTCAGAAGCCTTTCCTGACCCACCTTCCTCTCACTGCCTGGACTTCTCCTATTCCAGCACCTCCCACACTCTTGTGATTGCCTCAGACTTTCATGAAGCACTGAGCTCCCCGAGGCTCAATGAGACTTGAAGAATAATTTCCAACTTAAGGGCTTGTTTAGGATGAAAGGAAAACATGTTAAATGCCTTGAAAATGTACTTATCAGATATGCTTGTCCTTTCAACCAGTAGCTCTATTTCTAGAATATTTCCTAAAGAACTAATCAGACAAGTGCACAAATGTGTAGGTTCAAGAATATTCATCTCAGCTCTATTTGTAATGGGACAGAAAGAGAAAAAGAAAGAGAAGAAAATTTAAAAACAACCTAGATAATCAACAATAGGAAATTGGATCACTAAATCAAGATAGACGCTCACATGACTTATATAAATGCAGCCATTAAAAGTCATCCTGTAGACCAATGTTTCTTGATATGTAAAAATGTTCACAATAGATTCCTGAAAGAAAAATAAATCAGACTACAAAGGCCAGTCTAGGGCCTGGCCATCCACGGATAGAAGGAAAAGCCACGGATCAGCAACATCAGCCGCTCCAGGGAGCTTGTTAGAATGCTGAATCTCAGGCCCCACCCTAGACTTATTGAATCAAAGCCTGCATTTGGGGCCGGGCACCGTGGCTCACACCTGTAATCCTAGCACTTTGGGAGACCAAGGCAGGTGGATTGCCTGAGCTCAGGAGTTCGAGACCAGCCTGGGCAACATGATGAAACCCCATCTCTGCTAAAATACAAAAAATTAGCCAGGCATGGCTGCCTGTAGTCCCAGCTACTTGGGAGGCTGAGGCAGGAGAATCACCTGAACCCGGGGTGGGTGGGGGATGGGGGGGAGTTGCAGTGAGCCGAGATCACGCCACTGCACTCCAGCCTAGGCGACTCTGTCTCCAAGAAAAAGAAAAAAGAAAAATGCCTGCATTTGGGCAAGAGGCCCGAATGCTCTGAACACAGTAGAGGCTGAGAAGCACGGGGTTAGACCATGGACCACTACAGGTCTACAATGAAGTTTCTGCTGGTCTATGGCATCGTGAGAAAAATAAGGGCAATGTATTGGGTTTTTCACACAGTTAAATATATTTAACTTAGAGTCCCATTCTTTATTCTGAGATTATAATCTTGCTTTTATAAAGTTAAGCTTTCTTTCTTTTATACAATGATGGTGATTTTTGGATGGTAGGTTTTCTTGGTTGTTTTGCTGTTGTTTCAGTGGCCTTAGTTGGCAAAATAAACAGTTGGTATGGTAATCCTACGTGTTGTTTTTGAAACTTTACTAAGAAATCTGAGAATCATGATGAATACTAAAACACACCGCTTTCAAGTAAAATATGTGTGGGTGTGCGTTTTCAGGGAGGGGGGTGTAAATTACAAACATGTAAACACTGGTTCCCTTGGGGAGGTGTAACTGTGGACACTTTCTGCATTTTGTTTTCTTCTTTTCTGAGTTGCCCAAGTTTTCTGCATTTAGCAATTTAAAAAATAAGTTGAAGCAGAAGCTAGAGGAGTCTAAAAAAGACAGGGGTTTGGGTCAATAGCTTAGAAAGCTGTGTCTGTTTGGGAACTTGGGACACAGTGGTTATGCACATGGATTGTGGAGGCCCAGCGGCCTGGTGCCACCCAGTGACAGCCACTTAGGAGCCAGGAAACCTTGGCCAGGTCACTCAGTGTCCTTGCACCTCAGGTTCTTTAGCTGTAAGATAACTTATGATCATAATCATACCTAAAATCTAGGGTCATTCCGAAGCTTAGGTGTATTACCTTACCAGGATTGCTGAAACAAATTACCCCAAACTGGGTGGTTTAAAACAACAGAAATTCATTTCTTTACACTTCTGGAGGTTTGAAGTCCAAAATCATAGTGTGGGCAGGGCCATGCTCCCTTCAAAGGTTCTAGGGGAGAATCCAACCCCTAGAGAATCCACACTTCTTCCAGCGTCTGGTGGCTCCAGGCTTCCCTTGGCTTGTGGCTGCATCACTCCAATCTCTGCTTCCATCTCCGCAGGGACTTCTTTTCTCTCCCTGTGTTCTCCTCTCTGTCTTTTATAAGGACACTCCAACTGGACTTAGGGCATCCCTGGGTAAACCAGGATCACCTCATCTTGAGATCCTTAACTTAGACAAATCTGCAAAGACTCTTTTTCCAAATAAGGTCGCATTCACAGGTATGGGGGGTTAGAATGTGGGGATAGCTTTTGGGAGATACTATTCAACCTGTCAGTACAGCATATATAATTCAATTTAAAACAACAAGTGACACATAACAAGTGTAGATTTTGTCCCATTTCAGTTCCCAGTATCTGGGAAGTTTTTGTCCTAAAATTCTCTCAGCCAGGCATGGTGGCTCATGCCTGTAATCCCAGGACTTTGGGAGGCTGAGGCAGGAAGATCACTTGAGGCCAAGAGTTCAAGACCAGCCTGGGCAGCACAGCAAGATTCCCACCTCTACAAAAAATAAGAATTAGCCAAGTGTGGTGGCACATACTTGTAGTTCCAACTACTCAGGAGGCTGAGGCAAGTGGATCGCTTGAGCCCAGGAGTCTGAGGCTGCACTAATCCACGATTGCACCACTGCACTCCAGCCTGGACAACATAGGGAGACACTGTCTCTACAAATAAATAAAATAAAATATTCTTTAAAGGTTCTTGCTTGGATATAAGTCTCTTGCTTTCCAATGTCCAAACCAACTGAATTATTCGTGTTACTAACGATCTCCATCTCAAGAATCATAGTTTTAAAGAGCTCAGCATTTCTGTTTGCCATAGTTACCACTGAAAATAGAAAGAGAGGCTGAGGGAAGCATCAGAAAATCCTAAAGGAAACCTCTCTAGATTAACTATTAAGTATATTAATATTTAGTAAAAGTGAGCCCACAGCTCACACAAAATTCAGTTCATTTTTCCTTTCTCCAGGTAGTCACTTTACATTCAAATGACAAATAACTATTCCACAAAGAGCACAGGAGACTATTGATCTTAGGTGTAGAGCAGATTATCATTCAGGATGGCCTTCGTTAAGGGCACCATCTGAAGATGACTCATACAAAGAGACAACCACGTCTCTCTGAATGGTCCTCCAGACCTCATGGGCAGCCTGCTAGCGTCTCAGCCAAAGAGATTGCTGTCACCACCAACCAAGATCCCAACTTGACTTTAAAGTGCTGAAATACCAGTATTTCCTTGTAACCGTTTTAGGTCTTCATATGGGTGAGGATTTATATAAAGTTTTGCATCAGAAAGTAAGCGCAGTATTTGGCCTACAGCAGGCGCTTGGTTCATGTTTTATTCAATGAATGAATGAATGTGTTTGGGACTTGGAAAGAGTCAAACTTTAGAATTCATGGACTGTAGTTTCATCAGACAAGTTATGTACATCCTTCAAATATATGATTTTTTTTTCCTCCGAAATAGAGGTTTTCTTCTAAATGGGAAACTGAACTGCCAGGAGGGTAAATCATTTCCACTACTTGCCAAAGGGAGTCAGTCTGCCCTCTGATGCATTTCTAGAGTCAGGACTAAGCAGAGAATCTGCAATGCAGCTTCTTGAGTGTACATGGGATGGGAGGTGCCTAATCGCCCATGAGCTGCCTCTTGCAGGAAAGTAGGCATCACATCCACATGGCACCCCGTTTACTCGATTAACAGTACAAGGGAAGACACAAGACAGAATCCTTCTTCAAGCCTTCCTAAGCAGCCTTCGATCTCTGAACCACAAACTCACAAATTTTTCATAGAGCGATGCAGACTTTTCACGTGCATGTTCAGGAATACCTTTGTTGCTCTCACTGGCTGACTTAGGGACCATGCAGGAGAAACAACTTGTCAGTCACTCCCAGTATCTCTTCAAACCCAACTCCCCAACACTTAGTCCAAAAAATGGATGTCTCTACATGCAGACGTGGAAACATAAAGCTGTCATTTGGATATTTCAGATGGAAAATAATTATAGCTTCCTGAAAATTCAAACGACTAAGGCCGAAGCTGTGGTTGTTATTTGGATTAGCAAGAAAATTGCCTCGATTCTTCCCTCAATCTGCAGTCACCTATGAATGAAGGTTACAGTGACATCCTACTATTATTAGTTGTATCTCTCACTAGTGAACTCCAGAATTAAACTCTGTCAGCGGTGAAGCCATTTCGAAAGCAGACTTCCAGATAATTAGAACCAATAGAACTATAAAAGTTTCAAAAGTGCTTTATGGAATGTTACATTTGGCTAATGTTACACCCATTTTACTGGTGGTGGTTTTTTTAAATTTCAGGCTATGGGCAAGCTTTGTAAGAATGTGAAAATCAATATAAAAGGTTTGTCAGGGGTGACATGTTTATTAATGTTTTATTGATTATGCTATTGGTTGTAAATTTTCTAACTTAATAAGGCTCAAGTTTTTTTGCAGTAAAAGACAGAGGTTATTTAATTAACTGGCAACTTAATGCAAACTACTAACATGATACATTGTGACTACTTCAAAGTGACACCTAATTTATCACTCTACAAGTAGGCATGATGTCACACACACTCTCAAACATACACACACACACACACGCACACACACACAAGAATATTATGCCACTGAAAAGATTAGACAAGAGCAGACTGATATGAAAAGGAAAATATCCTAGTACTTAATGCAAAAGAACCTGGCAGTATGCACTTAATACTAAAAAAATACCAAATATGCACATAGCTGTTTTCTGTATAACAGAAAATTAGGAATAGGCTCTTTAAAAGCTAAGCAAAGTTACAAATACCCATAATTCAGGCAGCATTTGTTAAAAAAAAAAACATGATAATCTACATTCTGTGTTCAGAGTGAAAATTCTGTGACTTAACCCAATGAGCTTGTGAAGTCACAATCACTTATTTCACGTACCTAAGAAATCACATAAATCCAGTCCAGCTATGGTTTGTGTTACTGTTTCCCAGAAGTGTTCAGTCCGCTTTATACTATTACATATTCACTCTACTAAAGTCCTGTACTAAAGTGATTTTGCTTCTCCACTGTTCACTGTCACAAGCTCAGATTCTCTCCTAAAGTAGGACACCGAAGTACAAAATGGTTAGACTCAAAGCATCGACCAACAAACCACTAGTAAAAACAAATCTCAGCCAGACATGGTGACTCACGCCTGTAATCCCAGCACTTTGGGAGGCCGAGGCGGGCAGGTGACTTGAGGTCAGGAGTTCGAGACCAGCCTGACTAACATGGTGAAACCCGGTCTCTACTAAAAATACAAAAATTAGCCAGGCATAGTGGCAGGTGCCTGTAGTCCCAGCTACTCAGGAGGCTGAGGCAGGAGAATCGCTTGAACCCAGGAGGCAGAGGTTGTAATGAGCTGAGATCATGCCACTGCACTCCAGCCTGGGCAACAGAGCGAGACTCTGTCTCAAAAACAACAACAACAACAAAAAACTCTCTCTCCCGATACAATTCCTTCAGGAAGGGAAACGTAGTTGACTCAGGTTCTATTTTCTTGGATTTTGGTTCTTTTCCTACCATAAGCCCTGACACACAATATTTTATCTCTTGCAACATTCCTAGAATCACATCATGGTATTGAACTTGGAAGGGGGCGGTTCCTATTTGCCACCATGAAACTCAGCTCTCAAGTTTGCCAAGATGTGACACTGTTTTTTGAGCCACATAAAGTAGAGTGCAGCTGGTAAACACCTCTTTAAGTCCCTATCATTCCCACACTAATAGCTAAACTGGCATTAATTATTTTTATCTTCTTCCAAACTTCTTTCCTCAGGAAATGATTTAAATAACTGTTTTGCAGTCACAAAAACCTCTTGAATCACCAACTCTTCCAAGAAATTGTAAAGATTCTCATGGAATCGCTTCAATAAAGCATTTATTTCCTCCAAAGAATGGTGGAAGGGGAAGAATTACATCCTGAGCGCTAATTTCCCCAATTACCATCAATGGGTTTTCTCTCTACCTGCCAGGTTAATAACCAGCCTGTTTTATCACCCTGGCCATATAAAAACCCTCCATATCTGGCAATTACCTCTCCTCTCTTTTTTTGAATTATTTTTAACATGTCTCTTCAAGCCCTTTCAAACTTTCTAATGGAGCCCTCATGTGAATGTTTCAATTTTTGCCCTCTCAATCTTACATAAGGTCTTCCAAATTCTCAACAGTAATTCCCGATTAATAAAAATTTCACTGAGATATGAGTTGCTTTCCTTCCCACTCATTTGAAGTCTCCCACAGTGGGTTCCTAAAATATCTGAAAAACAATTTTCAGTAAAAAATAATTCTATAAATACATAGCCATGAAACCAGATTCCCTTTGAGCTTTACCTAGTGTTGGTCATAAGTTAATGCCTTGTGGAAAAGTCCTTTTTCTCTCCTTTCTTTTCTTTTATTACAGCTTTGTATCTTTTTATATTATGAAAAAAATCCCCCAAATTTAAAAATATACATTTTAGAAATTTATACAGATGTGATAAAACTATATAAACCCCAAAGGAACAAAATTAGGAACACAGGGTTAAGGCTGCCTTTTCCTTGGGTAGTGGAAGAGATATGGGCTGTCCTGGGATGGTGACACAATAAAAGTCATTGTCAACGTCCTAGTGTTACCCCGGGTGCTAAGATTACAGCTGCTAATTAAATAAAAATAAATAAATGAATGAATACATGAAGATATACTTGAAACCAATACTGAAAGTGAGTCATAAACCAAGATTATGATTGAAAGACACTTAGATGTTCATCTGTACAACGTGAATAATGATTTCCTATATCACAAACTTGTAATTCTTTGAAACTCTGAGTTCAAAAAGGGTTATTTGAAACCCTGTAAGAGATGCATTATTGTAATAACAAAGAGCATACACTTGCCATCAGACAGCTGTGTTTAAATCATACTTGGACACTTGCTTGCTGAGTCACCTTGGATAAGTGATTCAAACTCTAAGGGCCTCAGTTTTCTCATCTATAAAAAGGGAATAATGGGCTGGGCGTGGTGGCTCATGCCTGTAATCCATGCACTTTGGGAAGCCAAGGCAGATTGATCACTTGAGGTCAGGAGTTTGAGACCAGCCTGGCCAACATGGTGAAAACCCATCTCTACTAAAAATACAAAAATTAGCCGGGCATGGTGGTACATGCCTGTAATCCCAGCTAGTTGGGAGACTGAGGCAGGGGAATCTCTTGAACCCAGGAGGCCAAGTTTGCAGTGAGCCAAGATCATGCACTGCACTCTAGCCTGGATGACAGAGCAAGACTCCATCTCAAAAAATAAATAAATGGAAGGGTAGGGCTGGATAATGATACTTACACTTCTTCATTGGGTTGTTGACAGGAGCAAGTTAAAAAAAAAAGTATTAAGAAGCATTTAAAGCAATGTTTGGCATATGGTGAATACTGAGTGCATATTAGCTGTTCTTCTGCATGTCCCTAGCACGAGTGTGAGGTGTAAACGATCCAGTAACTATTCTTTTCTCTTTCTATGTTCACAAGATTATCTGCAGGCTAAATGAGGTAAGAATTTTGAATCTGCTTGGTGAGTTCTCTAAGGAGTTATTGAAATGAAAGGGGTGGGTTTGGCAGTGGCAGAGAGAGGGGAGAGTCAGGGAACAGGCCCAGGGGGCAGCAAGAGCCCCCCTGGATCAGCCAGGCTGATGCTGAGCTTCACCACATCTGCCTCTTCCCACTCAAGCCCATTAGCCCCATGGAGACAAAAAGTGAAAAGTTCCCATGTTTTGGCTAAGCTCTACTGCTTTCTAGAAGATAGAATGCATCATCTTTCAGAAGAGTTCTCAAGGAAGGCACAGTCTTCCCCAGGAAGCAGAGCTGGCCCTTCCTGCCAGCCAGGGCTGTTTGCTGTCTTCCCTCTGGTGGCCCCACCTGGCTGTGAGTACACTTGGGACTCCACTGCCAGGAGGGAGAGGGACACGAACAAGGCACTCCTGGAGGGCCACTGAAGAGGAAGTCAGCATCCAGCTCTGCAAGAGCAGGACAAGGCCTGTTTGAGACAAGATCAGGGTTGGGGCATGGAAAGCTAAGTGTTCTGCCCATCACCGAGCGCTGGATGCTGTCCGCAGCTTGGGAGTGTCCTGTCCTCACAGCCGGTGGGCTCTGTTGGTCTGCAAAGGACAGCATCTTCCCTGGGAGGTGAACACTGTACTCCTGATATTGTCAGCAGGGGTGAAGGGTGGACATCAGCTCCCTTTTGCGTTTGGGAAGTCACCTGCTGTACGTTCACAATGGTGAGAAAGAAAAGAATTATTTTCCTTCCTGGATTTTCCATATTTAATCACTCCACAGACCCCAGGGTATGCTCTGGCTCTGCAGAGGATGAGGAGGTAGTTTAAGTCTCTCCTACAAAATAGGGCCAGCTTTTGCCAGAGAACATGCTGAAAGCTGCCAAGCCATGAAAGCAGAGGGACAGGTGCTTAAGGCTTACTGAGTATCTGGTAGTTATGGCTCCATTGTCTTGCTCAACTCTTCCACAAAGCAACCACTCTGGAGTAGGATTCTGAACTCACAACAACTTTGTTGTTGTTGTTGTTGTTGTTGTTGTTGTTAGACAGAGTTTCACTCTTACTGGCCAGGCTGGAGTGCAGTGGTGCAATCTCGGCTCACTACAACCTCTGCCTCCTGAGTTCAAGCGATTCTCCTGTCTCAGCCTCCCAAGTAACTGGGATTACAGGTGTCCGCCACCACAGCCGGTTTCACCGTGTTGGCCAGGCTGGTCTTGAACTCCTGACCTCAGGTGATCCACCTGCCTCAGCCTCCCAAAGTGCTGGGATTACAAGCGTGAACCACCACACCCAGCCTGAACTCACAACTTCTTACGGTGACCTGATTATCACATGGAACACTAAGGCAGAAACAACCCATGTTCAGACTAGTTATTAAGGATAACCAGGAAACAGTGAGTGCCTCTTTTAAGCTGGCCACTTACTTTCCTTGGCATTTTGTATGCATCTACTAAGCTTTTCCTCATAGGCGTCCCAGAGGGAGGTACTATATCAGCTCCCCTTTTAAGAATGAGAAAACTGAAGCGTGGAGAAGTGAAGGCACTGCCCAGCATTACAAAGCTATGAAGAGGGAGGGACAACCATGGATCCAAGTTCTCTGCCAAGCTTTTGTGCTATGGCACTGTATGACAGTGCCTCCCTGAGAATGCAGCATCCACTTGAAGAGTAGGATAGTGAATCTGAGAGTCCGCAGCACCCACAGTTCAGGAGCCTATATTTGTCAATACCAGAAAGAGTACTTTTACTCGGCACTTCATGAAACCAACAAAGAGACTCAATTAACAAAGACTTAAGCAGTAAGAACAATGGAATTTACTACGCATGTTTACACACAATAGAAGAATCTAAGCAATTTGGGGTAGACTCTGACATTCCTTTTCCAATCATTTCAGTGATGTCCTGCAAACATCTGATGGCAATGTAAATAATCCCAAACACACTCCTTGTCCCGTGTAAGCACGTAGTCTGCTCTGGAATGCCTCCTTGAATCAAGGCTCTTCTTACTAACAAATTTTAGTCTTTGCTTAAGCCCTTTTACTAAGCACTTTCAAATGTTGACTAAATATCAATTGATTTCTCCAGAAATCTTTGCTTCCCTCCGATACACTCTGCCAAGTGTTGCCTTCAATAGATGAACGTTTCCTGTCTATCTGTCCAAAGCGTGGGTGGGTGAGCAATCTGAGTTCTCTTGGTGGGCCCTTCTTCCCTGGGGGCATGTTATTCTGGACACTGTGGCTATGCAGGAAATAGTGGAGTCTTCTTTGCTAGAACAAGAGTTGTTGGGATACTCTCTTGGGAAGATTTGTGAATGCCATCAGCCTTGACAGTTCCAGGGCAACACCACTAAATGTTTCTTTGACAGCCACAGCTGGTACATAGGACTGTTTAATCATTTAGTGCATTAGGCCAGGTGGGCCTCAAGAAATCCTTAGCTAGAGATCTTCCTTGGGCCTCTGCCCTGGTGTCTCAAACCAACTCAGTGTACACGGACACACCCTAAGCTGGCTTTCTGTTACTCAGGTGTATTATCCATCAACAAGTTACTACTGAACACCTGTTCCGTGATCACTGCATGTGTTGGTACACTGAACTAAAAAATTGTTTGTCCCTTCCCCTGAGCCCTCTTAGTACTCCCAGCCTGCCCACAACCATAACACTAGAACCAAATTAAAGGCCACGTGCAAGGTTCACTCTCCAACATTGCAGCCTGACTTTGCATTTAAGGCTGACACAGTGAAGGTAGCTCCGTCTTCAGTCGTAACCTTGGTCAGATTTGTACAGCATCAGTTGGAACAGGAAGAGAAAGAGCAATAGAAATACAACTGCCAACTTGGTGTGGCTGCTGCAGGGTACTTCAAGACCCTCCTCTTTCTGGCTGCTTTCTGCCCCATTTCATTTGACGCCCTATCTTTGCCTGGCCCACGTGGATAACAACCCAGTACTGGACTGTTTTCCTTGCTAGAACCCGGTAGTCACTTCGGATTTTGCTTCAATTGCTGCCCCTCTGCAGCAACATTCCTCCCCACACCCTGCCAGCCACTTCTCCCCAGCCTCCCCACTTTCTGCACACACCCCAGTGTTCTACGCAGCCTTGGAAATAGCCTTGGTCAAACTTTCTAGCCTGACAAGAAAAACAGTCTTGATCCCTTAGGTGGGTGTCATTTCACCTCATCTGCCTAATTAGGGCATTTTCTTGAAAACAACTCACGTTATTCGGGTCTACGTGGTTAAGATGCCTCTACTAAACAAAACAAAGGGCAGAATAGATCCAGAGCTTTATAAATACAAAAGATTGAGCCAGTGGAAAAGATCACAGCACACGCACTTCTAAATGAACTGCACTGGAGGTTAACCGAAGCATTCCACGTCTAAATATAATGAACCTATAAAATAATGACTACAGTGATAAAACTAAAATACTTCCAGGTGTTAACCATTGATCCCTTCTCATGAAAGCATTATTGCAGCCATTTAGCGAGTAGTACTAGGTTATTATGTCTCTCCTGTCTGGTCCATTTTCTCGTATTTCCTTGTACTGTTCCTCCCCATTTGTGTTGGCCATCTCAGTATGCACTCTGCGCCTGCCAGAACAGACCTTTTCTGACACTGATACATGAACCAGGTATAGTCTCTGCCTGTCTCTCTGCCTGTCTACAATTTCTGAATTTCATTCCCGAATGGGAATGTTTCCTGTGGCAGCCACACCAAGTTTGCAGTTCCCTTTCTACTGCTCTTGCTCTTCCTGTTCCAACTGATGCTGTACAAACCTGACCAAGGTAGGACTGTCGATGGAGCCACCTTCACTGTGTCAGCCTTTGGTGCAAATCACCCACTTAAGGGCCCCTGTTTGTGCAGAGAAGGGACCTTCATAGACTTCCCTGGCTTTAGGTAAACAAAAAGATGTCTTCTTTGGCTGAGAGTTTCGTGCCCCTCCATTGCCCATTGCTCATCCTCTCAGGTGGTTTCCGATCTCTCCTGCAAACAAACAACCTTTCCTTAAGGATGGATGGACTCTAGCAGGCCAAGCTACTACTGCACTACTTAACCACACTACCAGAAAGGAAGATGCAGAAACTCAAGTTCTTGCAGGCTAGGTGTATCTGGTTTTTAGTGCTACTGTAACAAATTACTACGAACTAACAGGCTTACAACAACACACATTTCTTATTTTACCATTCTAGAAGTCAGAAGTCTCGAATGGGGTGACAGAACTGCCTTCTGCAGGCTCTAGGGGTGAATCCATTTCCTTACCTTTTCCAGCTTCCAGAGGCCAGCTGCATGTGTTGGCTTCTATCTCCAAAGCTAGCAGCTCAGTGTCTTCAGATCTCTTCTCTCTCTCTAACCCTGACACTCTTGCTTCCCTCTTGTAAGGATCCCTGCAATTACACTGCCCCTGCTAGGATAATTCAGAGTCATCTCTCCATCTCAAGATCCTTAATTATATCTGCAAAGTCCTTCTGTCATGTAAGGAAAGATATTCACAGGTTGCAGGTACTAGGAGGGGAATATACTTGGGATGCCATTATTCTGCCTGTTATCCTATTGAAAAAAATAAACGTCTAATAGAAAGTATTGCAGATTCTTAGACCATCAGGATTTTCATGGATGCCTATGAAGTGCACCTGAAAGATCAACTAACACCCTCATATACACATGAGGGAAATTGAGGCCCAGAGAGGCAAAATGCTTGCTACATACACACAGCAGCTTAGGGGCCTGGCGGGGTCTGGAATCTAGCCCTTGACTCCCAGTCCAATGCTCTCCACAAAACAGTCAAACTCAAAAATCAGTCAGTCTTTTCCACTATGCATTCTCTCCTTCTGCTTTTAAAAAGAGCCACGTTGGCAGATGGAGCCTCTGAGTTTCCCAGCTGCTTCTGGGACAGCAGGCTTCTCTTGAAGCTGAGCGCCCCTTGCTGCAGGCCTCTCTAGCATGTGCTCACTACACGCTGGGCATTCTGCAGTCACGTTCTTTGAAGATCCTTTTCTTTCATCTATGCTCAAAATAGTACCTGCCATTGTGTTAGCCTCAGAAACTTCAGTGAGGATCCAAAGGATGGGTAAATTTATCACCTGGTGAACTGACCTACATTCTGCTTAATTGTTTTTGGCCTGACCATTACCCCAGGCATCAGCGTCAAAAGGAATAAAAGCGATGGTTAGATCTAAATGCATGGAGATTTTTATGGCTCTGGTTGATCTCCCAAATTAATAATTGCCAGGAAGAAATTTAAAGATAAAAGACTCTTAATGTGGAGTTAATTTTACAAAAGAAAACCACACTTCTGCTGATGCTTCAGGAAAAAGATGAGTCGGGCATTTCTCGGGGACAGATTAATCTGGTCTACTTCAGTTGCTCTTTTATTATGATATGTTGGGTCAGGTTTTATTTTATTACAAAAATGACTAAATCGGGTGCCATATCTTTTCTATACATAAGCGTTTTGCAAAAGCCATGGTTTCTCTGTAATTTACAAAATGTACCACATTATCAGATATAATTGAAGAAACAACGGTTTTTCTGAAACATGAACTGAAGATGTCAAAAGATATTTAAGATGTTTCTAAGGTCACTGTCAAATGCATATTATCTCTGTTTTTTTTTTTTTAATGCTTCAGTTACAAAATCCTTTTGGAGAGCTTCAAAAAGACATTCACTTCCTCCTGATCTGATCATTTCGTACATTTGGCAGCTGTTGAGTTTCATTTTCTAATGTGTTTCCAATGGAGATGTACGTAGCATGGCTTGTTTAATATAATTTGTTGTTTATGCTTCAGTATTCATGGTATTTATCTGCCTAAATGTGCAAAAAGGAGCTGGGTGAATAACTGTTTTTGTTTTTCTTCTCTTTCTTTTTAAAAAAATTTTTAATTCAACATTTTTTCCCCACATCTTGCAAAATATAATCAGAACTGGTAGAGTTTGCACATTTCAGCAAAAGAATGATGCTTCTTCAGATATCTCCAAACAGCTCCCAGACCTTAGATTACTATGATAAATGTAGGACAGGTATAATTCCAGCATCATGAATGCCATATCAAGAGAAGCTTCTGTTTAGTAAAGCAATTTTCATGTCCCAGTTGTGGAGAGCTAAGTTGCTAATCTGACCACATAGGGTTTACACACAGTTGTCCATTTGCATCCTCCAGCACCACGGACACACCTCAGACTAAGCGTGGCCACACTGAATTCATCCTTGTTCCCCAAATTCAGTCTTCTCCCGATGCTTCCCATCTCAGCAGCAGACACCGCCATTTGGTGAATGCTGGAACCATTTGGATGGTTCCAGCTGTGTAATCCCCACATCCAACACCAAACCTATCAGTTTTTATCGTCTAGACATCTCTCAAATGCATCTATATCACTTTACCTCTGCTCCTGGAGCCAGTGCCACGTTATGACTGCAGTGGTCTCCAGGCACTTTTGCCTTCATGGGCCCCTCCACCCAAAAAAAAATCTAAAATTATTATTTATGACTGTTGGTATACAATCAAATATAATCTAACTTGGCCTCATCATTGTATTTATTTTAAATTCTGATTTTAAGATAAATTAAAAGAGCCACCCTCAGCAATCCATTCTCCAGCAGTAGCCAGAGGACCTGAATATTCAAATTTGCCTACAATCCATCAAGTTCAATGCAAAGTGTTGCATTAAAATTTTTCAATTGAGATGAAATTTCCATAACATAAAACTTATCATTTTAATAATTTTAAGTGCATAATTTAGTAAAGTGATTTTTTTAAGAGATGGGGTCTCACTCCTGCCCAGGCTGGAGTCCAGTGGCACACTCATAGATCACTGCAGCCTCAAACACCTGGGCTCAAGTGATCCTCCCACCTGAGCCTCCCAAGTAGCTGGGACTGCAGGCTTGCACCAACACACCCAGCTGGTTTTTAGTATATTTACAATCTTGTGCAAACATCGCCACTATTTAATTCCAGAACATTTCCATGGCCTTATCAAGAAACCCCATACCGCTGAATTTCTCCCTCTCAACCCCTGACAACCAGTAGTCTATTTTCTGTCTCTATAGATTTGCCTCTTTGGGATGCTTCATATAAATAGAATCATATAATCTGCGGCTTTTTGTTCTGCCTTCTTTCATCTGGCATGCTTTCAAGGTTCATCCATGTTGTAACATTCATTGGGACTTCATCCTTTTTTATGGCTGAATAATATTCCATTCTATGGAATGGATAATGGAATAATATTCCATTACAATATTTCATTTCAGGTCATCAGTTGAAGGGTTACTTTCCACTTTGGGGCTATTATGAATATCTGTGTATAACTTTTTTATGAACGTATATTTTCAATTCTCTTGGACATATACCTAGAAATGGAATTGCTGAGTCATGTGGTAACTCTGTGCTTAACTTTTTGAGGAACTGCCAAATTGTTTTTATCAGCAGCTGCACCAGCAATGTTTTCCATTCCTACCAACAATGTTTGAGGGTTCCAGTTTCTCCACATCCTCACCAGCACTTGTTATTTTTCCTTTTTAAATAAATTCTAGCCATCCTAAGGGGGTATAAAGTGGTATCTCATTGTTGTTTTGATTTGCATTTCCCTAATGACTAATGATGTTGAACATCTTTTCATGTGCTTATTAGTCATTTGTATTACCTTTAGAAAGATGTCTATTCATCTCTTTTGAATTGGGTTGTTTTTGTTGAGTTGTAAGAGGTTTTTAAAAATATTTATTCTAGATGCTAAACCTTTATCAGATATAGAATTTGCAAACATTTCTCCCATTCTGTGGGTTGTCTTTTCATACTCTTGGTAGTGTCTTTTGATGTACCAAAGTTTTAATTTTAAAAACTATAACTTATCTATTTTTTCCTTTTGTTGCTTGTGATTTTTTTTTATTTTGTTTTTTATTTTTTATTTTTTTGGAGTCTCGCCCTGTCACCGAGGCTGGAGTGCAGTGGTGCAATCTCGGCTCACTGCAACTTCTGTTTCCCAAGTTTGAGCGATTCTCCTGCCTCAGCCTCCCTAGTAGCTGGGACCACAGGCGTGTGCCACCACGCCTGGCTAATTTTTGTATTTTTAGTAGAGATGGGGTTTCACCATGTTGGCCAGGCTGGTCTCGAATCCTGACCTCAGGTGATCCACCTGCCTGGACCTCCCAAAGTGCTGGGATTACAGGTGTGAGCCACTGTACCTGGTGCTTGTGCTTTTTATGTCATATTTAAGAAATATTTCCTAACCCAAGTTCACAGAGATTTACACCCCTTCAAATAGCTTTATAGTTTTGTCTCATATTTAGGTCTGTGATTTATTTTTAGTTCACTTTTGTATACGTTGTTAAGTAGGGATCAACACTTATTCTTTTGCATGTGGATATCCAGTTGTCCCAGCAACCCTTGTTGAAAAGACTATTATTTCCCTATTGAATTGTCTTGGCAGTCTTATTGAAAATCAATTGACTATAGTGTGAGGGTTTATTTCTGGACCCTCAATTCTATTCCATTGATTTATTTGCTCATCCTTATGCCAGTACCACATCATCTTGATTACTGTAGCCTTGTAGTAAGTTTTAAAATCATGAATTGTAAGTAATCCAATTTTGTTCTATTTCAAGATTGTTTTTGCTATTCTGAATCCTTCAAATTTCCATATGAATTTTAGGATCAGTTTGTCAATTTCTGCAAAAAAAAAAGAAAAAAAGGCAGCTGAAATTTTGATAGAAATTGGCAAGAGCTGACAACCTTGATTGCTTCTGACCTTAGGGGGAAAGTTTTCTTTTCAGTCTTTCACCACTGGGTGTGATGCCAACTGTGGGTTTTTCATAGATGCCTTTTATCATATTGAGGAAGTTTCCTTCTACTTTCAGTAGTTTTCTATGTGTTTTTTTTTTAATCATGAAAGGGATGGATTTTTCTCTAATGCTTTCTCTAAGTTGATTATGATTTTGCCCCTTTATTCTATTAATATGGTGTGTTTCATTGATTGATTTTCATATGTTGAAACAACTAAGCATCCCTAGGATAAATCCCACTTGGCCATGGTGTATAATCTTTTTAACATGCTGTTGGATTGTTTGCAAGTATTTTGTTGAGGATTTTTGCATCTATAGTCACAAGAGATACTGGTCTGTAGTTTTCTTTTCATGTGATGTATTTGTCTTGCTTGGAATTGTAGTAATACTGGTCTCCTAGACTAAGTTAGGAAGTGTTCTAACTTAGTCTCCTCTTCTATTGAAGTATTTTTAAATGTCTGTTGTTAATTCTTTTTTAAATATTTGGTAGAATTCACCAGTGAAGAAATCTTGTCCTGAGTTTTCTTTTTTTGAAAAATCTAGATTTCCTATTTCTTCCTTAATAAGTTTTGGCAGTTTTTGTGTTTCAAAAATTTACATACTAATACTTTGCTGCTGTGCAGCTCCATACTTCACTTTATGTTACTATTGTCACAGATCACATCTTTGTGCATATGTTCTCATGAACATACATTTATATTTATTGTTTTATGTAGTTGTCATTTAGATCAGATAGGAAAAAGAGGACTTACAACCAAAAGAATACATTAATATTGTCTTGTATAATTTGTTATGTAATTATTTACCTTTACCAGTGTTCTTAATTTCTTCATGTGGATTAAATTTCTGGTGTCCCTTCATTTCAGCCTAAAGGCCTCCTTGTAACATTTCTTGTAGGGCACGTCTAGTAGTGCAAACTCTCTCAGATTTTGTTTATTTGGAGATGTCTTAATTTCTTGATCATTTTTGAAGGATAGTTTTGCTGGGTATAGAATTTTTGATTGACAGTTTTTCATCTTTCAGCACTTTGAATTAGCATTCCACTGCTTTCTGGCTTTCATGGTTTCTGATGAGGAGTCAGCTCTAAGTCTTATTAAGAATCTCTTGTACTTCTCTCTAGTTGCTTGCGAGATTCTCCCTTTGTCTTTAGCTTCAACAGTTTGATCAGCAATTACAATGAAGTATAGTGGAAAAGCCAGTGGTTTTGGTGTGGTGCAAACATCGACTTTAATCCCAGCTGTGTCACTTTTTAGCTGGTTTTCTCATTTTTGAAATATAATGATATCCACTATTAGGATTATTGTGAGAATCAAACAAAATAATGTAAATGAGGCATGAAGGCAAGCAACAAATCATTGTTCAATTTTCACAGTCTCAGGACAGGGCAGGCTTCCATTTCACTGCTGACTGATGGGTTACTATTGTTACTGCCATTTTATTCCTCCTTCGCTATGTGTTCCTTCTAAAAGAGCTTACATCTGCAGTCAGGAACTGCTACTTACTATACCCTAGCTTATTTCAGTGGCCCATCCAAACCAGTATTATTTCTCTTAGAGTATCATCCAGGGATGCTTAATAGCAGAACATAATGTTGTCACCTCATGGCCCTCCCTGAGATACAACTGGTACCCTTAACTTCCCTTAAATAATGAATTCTGGTGAAAAACTGGTTTTATTTATGTTTTTGTTTTTTCTAGAACTGTGTCTAGAACTGTATGTTTTAGCTCTGCCTCATGAGGGATTACTTGTGTATAATTACTTGTTCCATGTGTATAAGACAAGGCAGATATTTCTGCTTCTGCCCCACACAGAGACAGATCTCATCTGAGACATACAACCTGCTCCAGGAACATTCAAGCCCTTTGAGCCAAACTGTCCACACCTATGGGCAGGACCCAACAACGTAAAGCTTAAGATGTGTGTGTTCAGGTCAGAGGGCTGAAATCCTAGCTGACTCTCAACTCTCTTGCACTCTGGTTCCTGCCTACTTAAATCTATGGAACCCACCTACTGCTTCCTAATCTACCTGCCTCCTCTGGACAAGTTTCCACCTATTGTTCTTGCTGACTTTGCTGGACCTCTATTTCTTGGCTGAAGTATGAGTCTTGACTCTCCTTAGGCCTGTTTAATTTATTCAACAAATACTAGTTTAGTACTTAATATATGCAAAGTTCTGTTCTAGGTGCTGGAGATACAGCCCCTGGCAACAAGTCAGACAAAAATCTCTGCTCTCATGGAACTTACATTCTAGTTAGTCTCTAATACGCTGATGTAACAAAGAGTTCACTACTCTATCTCAAAAAAAGATTGGCTGATGTAAGTCTGTATTCATCAGGTATGAGTAACCTTCTTTGAACCTTAAAAAGGATAGTTATAATTTTATGCCTTAATGACGTCTAACAAACAGGTCAGACACATCCTCCCCTCTAAATCATGGTGCTTCCTTGAGCTTTCTCTGTTTCTCTGTTATTTTCCCCACTACCTGGCCAGCTGTGGAAGGGAGATTCTCTCACTGCAGTTCCTGGGCATCGTTTGGAGATCTTATAAATGGAAGTCCCTCTGACAATCTGCCACTCCTCAGCTAATCAGTCAGTGCCCAGGGGCTATTGATTCCTGCATATTATACGTGATGGCTAAAAATTTCATGTCATCCTTCAGTTATGTCTAAACTCTTGGGTGGGTAATTTAGGAGCCTAAGAATTTATTTTCATACCCAGGTTTTTAGTTTTAGAGCAGCCTATGATCTTATAACTATTTTTCTAATATTTTTGCCTGATTAGCTTCAAAAGAAAATGTAGAGTTGTGAATTTCATCAATACGGAAATCTAACTAGATGTTATTGATCCTCTCTATGCTTCTCTTTGGTCTCAAACCATCTTTTGTAACATGGTTATTAAGTGGCCCTTCTGGTTCTGTAGTCGTTTTCCTCTTTTTTGTGTAGAAACTTTTACTCTTAGCTTTGGAATCCATTGTAGTAATGAGTCTCCTTAAATTGTTTTTTCCTAAGTAGTATTGATTTGTAACTGACAAGTGCAGGCTTATGCTCTTTCTTAATCTCTTTCATCAAGCAATATTTTCCAATTTTGATGGGATTAGTTCTTTTATTCTACTAGACCGCCATAAAGGAGGCTTTTCTGGAGAAAATCTGCCTTTTAAAATCTTCAATGCCCATTTTTTCTAGTAACCATCTTCAGGCTCTCTACATAAAGTCCACGAAAGCATCACCTTTATCAGTTTCATTTATTGTTATATGTCCAACACCCAGACTGGAGTAGGTACCCAAATATTTGACAATAGATGGATGGATGAATGAATGAATGAATTTTAAAATAAAATGTTTCCATTTTTTTCTAACTTACCCATACTTTTAGTTGTGATTCTCTTTTCCAATTTTGAGCAGCCATTTAGTGGATTTGTTTCCTACCCCGTGGGTTAGTTTGTTTCTTTTTCTCACCTGAGTGCTGTACATCATCACGCTTTGATCACAGTGACTCAGGGTTCCAACAAAGACAGATGCTTTCAGCACCTGTTCTATAAGAAACAAGTTTAAATTGTTTCCTCCCTTGTCGATCTAAAACTATTCTGCTCTAGGAAACAGGAGAGAGCACATCTTGCATCACATGGTAGTTTTTACAGGATGAGTCTTAGAATAGTGTGACCCTCAGGCCAAGACTGAATGCTACTCACAGTGTGGTCCATGGACCTGGCCTGGCCCATGAGTTAACTGCATCACTTCTCTGAATAAGTACAGAACGTTAGAACAAGCACTTACAAACTTGTATGTGCTACTGACAAATTGCCACAGCATCCAAGCACTTTATTTTGTATTTTATAAAAGTATTCATCCATAATAGATATATCAGAAATAAAAATCGCTGATTCTTCATCTACAAATAGTGTGGGGGCTGGGGCTCAGCTGGGTCAAATGTAGAGACGACCCAGCCGGTCTATAGAACAGACTCGGTGCCATGTGACTTGCAGAAAAACTGCCAACCTGGGGTAATGATTCTTGATGCCCGGGAGTGATAAGCCCTTTGCATGTGCTTCAGGAGGAAAAAATATTCTGTTGATGGAATAATGGACATTACCCTGAAGTTATGCAGTATGGTGCAGTTTCAAAGCCAATTTATCATCTATCTTCGCAGCACACAAATGTAGCTGCTCTGCAAGGAAAACCTCATTCACTGATATAAAAAGCCAGCTGTGCCAGAGGAGGGAGTAACCAGGGGAGCCTATAAGGAGTCAGAATACACCCTGTTGACACTAAAGCTGATTGATGAGCAAGGAGCCTTCTGAGTCCAGAGGACAACAAAGTGGAAACGAGATAGACAAATGGTTCCGTGATGTATGAGAAACCGTAGGTGTGACACAGATGTGTGTTCTCTGTGCAAGAGAAGATTAGGGTCTTTCAAGGCTGACAGTTGTTGTCAGTGCAGTTGACATAAGTTTTGCTAATGTTAATGGAAATGTACTAGCATGATTTACCAAAGCCATTTACAGCTGTTGAGTTAGAGTGAAATAGAAAGCAATTGTAGGAAGAAGAACCCAAGAGGTTTCATACTTGTGTGTGCAAACAAATGCATATTTTAAAACTGCTATATATATAGAATTTCTCCCCTAATGTGGCAATTTTTATCTTTCTTTAAAACTATTCTTTCAGATGTTAAGAAACTACAGCAAATTCTGTGGTTCCAGAAAGCCTTCTCAAATTCTCCACCATCTCCATTTTTTTGTTTGTTTGTTTTTTTGTTTTTTTGTGTTTTTTTTTTTTGAGACAGAGTCTCACTCTGTCGCCCAGGCTGGAGTGCAGTGGCGCGATCTCGGCTCACTGTAAGCTCCACCTCCCAGGTTCATGCCATTCTCCTGCCTCAGCCTCCTGAGTAGCTGGGACTACAGGTGCCCGCCACCACGCCCAGCTAATCTTTTTGTATTTTTAGTAGAGACAGGGTTTCACCATGTTAGCCAGGATGGTCTCGATCTCCTGACCTTGCGATCTGCCCATCTTGGTCTCCCAAAGTGCTGGCGTGAGCCACCGCGCCCGGCCTACCTTCATTTTAACACGAGACTGTGCTTCTTGTGTTAACAGGTCTTTCTTTCTAACAAACTCATTTCTTATTAAATTATGTTCTTTCATCCTTCCTTATGATGCTAGAATTAGACAATCTTATCTGTGTTTAGTTACAGGAGACACAAAGTATTCTGGAATACCAAGACAGTGTTTTCAGCCACGGTGCAACAATGCCAAGGGCATGTGAAGCTTCTACAGATAAGGCATCAAATGCAGAAAGCATCAGAAGCCAGCTTTGAAGGGCACAAGGTATGGCTCATGACATTTCAATGCCATGAAATAGGGCAGCCAGTGTTTGCAAAGCAAGCCAGGTGAGTTGGTGGCATAAGGAAAATGACTTCAGAGCTGGAACCTCTCCTGGTGTGGAGAAAACAGCTGGCTGACCTTCCCCCCAGAAACTCCTCCAAGTAGCTGAACAACACAGACTGCCCGTGAAGGCTGCATTTGGCAGTAAGGGCAGTCAGCAGTCATGGCTGGGGCAACCAGAAGGATTCCAAAAAGGAGCAAATAGAGAATTTGGCAAGGATGGAAAGTGGAAGGACAGCAAACAGGTGGGGATAACTCCTTAAAGGATGAAGCTAGGTTTATTTTATATGAAAGATGAAGTGTGAAATCCTGGGCAGGCATCTTCCATGAAATGACTTAGGGTAAGCCAGAGAAAAAATGAGGGAAGAAGACAGCCCTGATGATAACTAAAGCCTCTCTCTACCTTGGTTGCTAATGTTTTTACCCTGGGGTCAGGAACAGGGTGGTTATGATGGTGTAGAATATGGTCTTTTCTCCAGTGTTTGGGCCACTCTGGCCCCCTTGCTGTCCATCATCACTATGCCCAGAGATGGGCATGGGAAAATGAGAAGCTACATGGAGGGTTGCTCAGTGGCTTTTTACTAAGCAGGGCCTTGTACAGAGAAAATTGAAGCTTCTGTGCTGGCAGAGATGAGTGTAACCCTTGCTCCCTCCTTTGAGTGATTCACACTCAAATCTCATGCCAAGCCTGTGGTTTCACAGTAACAATGATTTTAGACTCCAGGATCCCTTTATAGACCAGCCACCAGAATTCCTTTTCTCCAAGCTCCACTGCCTTTTCTTTCTGGGCACTAGCTAGCTCACCCACTCATAGTAAAAACCTCCGAAGTTTTTCACCCACTTTCGTCATGACCTCTGAGACACCTCTACTCTCCCTTATTGCCTCACCTCTCTTACTTCCCATCCTTCCTTGAAATTTTGCTTTATTCTTTGGATCGAGACATGAGGTTGCTTCTTCAGAAGCTCCAGAGGCCCCTTTATGAAGTCCTCCCCACTAGTTTCTTCTCTGTATAGTCTATAAGCATATATGGATCACCTAGTCTTTAGCCAGGGGCCAGGCCCTGGTTTCTCCCTTGTGTCATGAATCTCAGTTCATTCGTATGCAGAAAGTCTAATGCCAACAGCCTAAAGTGGAGGTCAAGCCCCTGTAACTCCAACAGAGGCAAGAAAGTCACGAAGGTGGGGTTACCAGTGGTATCAGTCGGTTACAGCTGCCATAACAAAACACCATATACTGAATGGCTTAAAACAGTGAAGCTCATTTCCTCACAGTTCTGGAGGCTGGAAATCCAAGATCAAAGTGTCAATAGGTTTGGTTTCTCCTGATGCCTCTCTCCTTGGCTTGCAAATGACCCCCTTCTCCCTGACCTCACATGACCTTTTTTATGTGTGTGCACATCCTTGGGTCTCTTCCTCTTCTTATAAGGACACCACTGCTATTGGATTAGGACCCAGCCTTATGACCTCATTTAATTTTAATTACCTCTTTAAAGGCTTTATCTGCAAATACAGCCACATTGGGAATTAGGACTTCAACCTATGAATTTTGGGGAGAATAATTCAGTACGTCACACCAGTGAAGAAGCTTTTGTCTGCAAGTAGCAGAAACTTGACTCTCGTGTTCAGGTGTCCAGAGGAAGAGAGTATCCACTGTTAGTTCAGGGACCCCACAGGTTTATCAAGAACCAGACTCAAAAGAGACCACTGAAAGCATGTTCAGTTATGTGTATAGATCCAAAGACAATGATTCTCAAGTCTAGAAATTGTTTTAAGATTTTGTACATCTATTCTGCACCTGTCACTTATTTGTGAGAACCACCAGCAAAACATTAAACCAGGCTATATTATTGCAGGATACGCAAGGGTGTTTTCACTTTATCATCACTGGAAATGACACTGACATCACTTTCTTAGTTCATTTATTCAGAACACAGTTAATAAACGGGTCCCCTGCATTTTCAAGGCCTTGAGTTAGGGGCTTTCAAGGCCATTGGTATGAATCAGAAATTAGAGTGCCTCCACCTTGTTTTGTGAATTTCAGAGCAAGATTTAGCCACTTATGCCCACAGTGAGAAGAGAATTCTGAAAATTCAGATGTTCAAGAAAATACATGTAAGCAATAAATAAATAAACAAATAAATAAATAAACTGTGACACTCCTTAGAATCAGGCAACAATCAACTGCACAATTACTTATAGTGAAGATTCACACTTCAGGGGACACCAGAAAAAGTAGTTTCTGGCCAGGCATGGTGTCTCACTCCTGTAATCCCAGCACTTTGGGAGGCTGAGGAGGGTGGATCATGAGGTCAAGAGATCGAGACCTTCCTGGCCAACATGGTGAAACCCCATCTCTACTAAAAATATAAAAATTAGCTGGGCATGGTGGCTCCTGCCTGTAGTCCCAACTACTCGGGAGGCTGAGGCAGGAGAATCGCTTGAACCTGGGAGGTGAGCAAAGATCGTGCCACTGCACTCCAGCCTGGTGACAGAGTGAGACTCCGTCTCAAAAAAAAAAAAAAAAAAAGTAGTTCCTACTCCTTTTTACTGTTTAGTGCTTTCTTTTTTCCTTTGGTCTCCCTATTTTGTTGATTTGGACAGCTTCCAGCAGTTCTCTCTCCACTTTTCTCCAAGATTTTCCATCTTGCTTTTAATGGAGCTTGATGTCTCTCTCTCTTTCCCTTTTTTCCCCATTAGTCTTTGCTTTTAGTTCCTGGCTCCTGCATGTAATTCTCCCCCGCTCCCACCATGTCTCCACCTTTCCCCACTAAGGCCTTGAGAGACATAGATTTCTTCCACAGAACCTGGGTGAATGTTTTAAACTTGCCTTAGGAAGTTACTTCTTTCACATACAGCTGCTTCAAGTGAGAACCAAAAGCACTCTTTATAGCCTGGATCTGGGAGGCTGCAGAGCAGAAGGCTGCTCCTGAAAGTGGAGCAGGAGCGCTGAGCATTCTCTTTGAAGAAAGCAGAATTCTTTTATCTCAGAGCAGAGTCCAATTTTATGAGCACATGGAAAGTTAGATTGAAGCAGGTCAAACCTCAGCCAATGCCTTTAATGACTGCATCTTCCCTCACAAGGGCCATATGCTTGGGATGGATCTGATTATGTATATAATATATAAAATAGACAAAGGTACACTCTTGTACTCTCGTTTGCCAATTTCATGTTTTTGAACCATGAGATCCCTTGCTGTTGAAGTTGGGTCCCTGTGGGCCCTGTAACACCTTCTACCCATAGGGGCAGAATTCATGGAGTTCCATTGCGGAATTAAATTAACTCTGCCATCCATAAAAGCCAACAATCCAATGCATCCTCAAACCTCTGCATTTTTTGAAGAGTATAAAATGCGAACACGTGGAGGAAGATTTGAGACCAAATAGACAAGAGATAAGTGGCCAGCCACTTATTTTAAGTTAAAGTTTTTCCCCAACAATGATTGATTGTTATGCTATTTTGACAAGGAGGCTTTTAATAAATTCTGACAATTAAAGAAATTTAGCAGTATTGGAACCAGAAGCCTTTGAGAATGAACATAGTCTTTACATAAGAAGCTAAGTGAACTAAGGGAAATACCAGGCAATATTGCCATCAGCAGAGTGAGGGATTTCTTTAATAGTAAATAACAATGGTTTGTAAAATTTGCATATCAAGCAAACACACAATCACCTAGCCAAAAAGCTGTGCTTAAGTATGAGGCAGATATAGAGCTGCCTGTAGCTGACAAGCAGTTTCCAGGAATTCTTTAAGAACAAATGTGACCTGGTAAACAAGTGTGGCTAATAGTCCCAATATCACAACTATTTATAGGGCCAGGGTCCAGAACAAATCCATGAAGAGCTATAGTTCAGCCCAACCCAAAACCCAAGGAGTAGGATGTTGAGGAAATTAAGCTGTTTGGGGACATGCAGGGCACACACGTGTTTGCCTTCCTGTGGATTAGTTATGCTATAAATGCAAGCTATTTTGCTAGAGAGAAAAGCACGTGGGGGACAGTCTCCTAAATTCTGGCTGGCTAGAAAGGACAGAGTTCCTAGATATAATGGCCAAGAAGATTGCAGAAAGCAGCAGGAGGAAAAATAACTCTAAGAAGCTAGAATCACAAAGAATGTCAAGAAACCAGTGAATGGAAAACACAAGGCACAAGGAAAGAAGGCACCCAAGACCTAGCATCATGTCTGGTACATAACACTTACTCGGCCAGGCACAGTGGCTCATGCCTGTAATCCCAGCACTTTGGGAGGCCAAGGTGGGCAGATCACGAAGTTAGGAGTTTAAGACCAGTCTGGCCAACATAGTGAAACCCCGTCTAGTAAAAATACAAAAAATTACCCAGGTATGGTGGTGTGCACCTTTCCCCACTAAGGCCTTGAGTGACATAGATTTCCCAGCTACTTGGGAGGCTGAGGCAGGAGAATTGCATGAACCTGGGAGGCAGAGGTTGCAGTGAGCCAAGATAGCAAGATCGCGCCATTGCACTCCAGCCCAGGCAACAGTGTGAGACTGTCTCAAAAAAACAAAAAACAAACAAACAAACAAAAAGCCATTTACTCCATGCATGTTATTAAAGAAATGAAAGAATAAAACACTAAATGAATAAATGGAAAAGGTTTAATCCACTGTATGTATTAGGAATTGCCTTTTTCCATAGATGGTGGATCTGGAGCTTTGAAAATAGATGGAAGCAAACATTTCATAATCCGTGGGCAACTAAAGCTTCATGCTGTCCCTAGAAGGGAGATTCTCATTGTGGTGACTGATGTCTCCCCTCTGCAGGGGTAGAGGTGGCTGTGAGTACACTTGGCATGGCCAATTGGGAGGTAAAAGAAACATGATGGACACATTTTCAGCGTTTTCCAAACTTGGCTTATGTGATTCAAGTGTAAATAGATGCCATCCACATGAGAAGCAAACTTGAGTTGTGGGCAGAAGTAGTGTTTTCAGCTCTTCTTCCATTGAAACTCATGACTTTGAAAGTCAAGGCACCTTTATGAAGTAGGCAATGGAAGTTAATTTTCTAAAGCATACCCATAGCTTTTCAGTCAAGGTTGGGCACTGCCTTTATTTTGGGAGGGACAATATTTTATTTTGTAGGCCAATAGTACAGCCGTGCCTGCTGCCCACGAAATGCCAGTTAACACACCCCAGTCATTGTGACAACCAAAAAATGCCCCAAAACAGTTCCAGTTGCCCTCTAGGGGAATGTTTTCCAAGTGAGCAACACTGGATGCTTTCAAAGAACTGGATTTAGTCTTCTGAACCACAGTACACTATGCAAAAATAAATGGCTTAGGAAAGGATAGAGTTTGTCTTGTAAATATTGGACTAACATGCTTGGCAGAATGATGATGTGTTCAGGACAACGTTGAACGATATTCAAGTGTGGAACAGAGACAAACTCAAACATGCACTATACCCTTGCCTATCTCAGTGGGCCCCCCTCAAGTGTCTACTCTAGTATAGAACACCTACTGGGTGTTCAGAGTTAAGCAATCTTAACTCCTACTTGCTTATGCTCTGCTCCAGGCCTCAAAGGCCTCATTTTCAACCTTGCCTGCTCATCATTTCACCCTCTGGCTTGCTTTTCTACTTTCATCCGGTGATAGGCTAACTTCCAGCTCCTGGCCATGGCTTAGTTTCCTGGATGCTGCTTTTGTGGTGTTCCTGCATCATGGCAACCCAGATAGATGACTTTGTGATGACCATGTCACCCAATCTAGCCCAGGAAGCACCCACCCTTGGGCAGAGTGCCTCCATGCAGCCCTCACCCAATCTTAGTTCAGCTTCAGTGTCACAGCCAAAACAAACACCACATAGCATAAACAAACAACAGTAAGGAAGGTTCCCAGTCCCTCTCAGGAAAGAATAATAGGGAAGAGGGTTAAAAACAATGCTGACATATTCACAACTTCATATGCAAATTCCCAGAGTATAAGTAATAAACCAAGTGAACTTGAAATTCTAAGAATAGAAAATAAATTGGCCTCATGGGTCCAAATGAGGGTTAGGAGCTCATGGAACTAAAAAGTCCAGAGGTAGAGCTAGTTTTAAGCATGGGTAGTGTATTAGTCCATTCACCCACTATTATAAAGAAATACTCGACACTGGGTAATTTATCAAGAAAAGAAGTTTCATTGGCTCCTGGTTCTGCAGGCTGTGCAGGAAGCATGGAAGTATCTGTTGTGGGAAGTCAGGGACCCCAAATGGAGGGACCAGCTGAAGCCACAGCAGAAGAACATAAATTGTGAAGATTTCATGGACATTTATCACTTCCCCAATCAATACTCTTATAATTTCCTATGCCTGTCTTTACTTTAATCTCTTAATCCCATCATCTTCATAATCTGAGGATGTATGTAGCCTCAGGATCCTGTGATGATTGCATTATCTGCACAAATTAATTGTAGAGCATGTGTGTTTGAACAATATGAAATCTGGGCATGTAGAAAAGGAACAGGATAACAGCAATTTTCAGGGAACAAGTGAGATAACCATAAAGTCTGACTGCCTGCAGGACCGGGCAGAACAGAGTCCATATTTCTCTTCTCGCAAAAACGAATAAGAGAAATATACCTGAATTCTTTTTCGCAGTAAGGAACAGCCGTGGGAAAAGAATGCACTCCCAGGGACAGGCCTCTAAAATGGTCTCTCTGGGAGTGTCTCTCTTATGCACTTGAAGATAAGGGATAAAATATGCCCTGGTCTCCTGCAGCACCCCCAGGCTTGCTAGGATTAGGAAATTCCAGACCGGCAAATTCTAGTCAGACCAGTTCTCTGCCCTTGAACCTTGTTTCCTGTTAAGATGTTTATCAATGACAATGTGTGCACAGTGGGACATGGAACATCATTAGTAATTCTAATTTCACCCTGGCCTTGTGATCTTGCTCTGCCCCCATTTGCCTTGTGATATTTTATTGCATTTGAAGTATGTGATCTCTGTGACCCACACCCTATTCATACACTCCCTCCCCTTTGAAAATCGCTAATAAAAACTTGCTGGTTTTGTGACTCAGGGGGCATCACGGAACCTGCCGTCATGTGTTGTCTCCCCTGGACACCCAGCTTTACAATTTCTCTCCTTTGTACTCTTTCCCTTTATTTCTCAGACTGGCCAACACTTAGGGAAAATAGAAAAGAACCTATGTTGAAATATTAGGGGCTGGTTCCCCCGATAAGTATCTGCCTTTAGGAAGGTCTCAGTAAACAGGAAACAGTCATGGCAGAAGGAGAAGAGGAGCAGGCACATCACATGGCCAGAGCAGGAGCAAGAAGGGCAGCAGGGGCGGGAGGCCACACACTTTTAGACAACCAGATCTCATGAGAACTCTATCACCAGAACAGCATCAAAAAGGGAAATCTGCTCCCATGAGCCAATCACCTCCCACCAGGCCCCACCTCAACATCGGGGATCACAATTTGGCATGAGATTTGGATGAGGACACAAATCCAAACCACATCAGGTAGATTGAGGAGCTCAAATTATGTCAGTAAAATAGAAGTAAAATCTCCTGGTCTTGCTTTCTCTTGTGTTGACTTTATCCTCAATAAACTTTTTACACTTGAACTATGTCTGAGATGGTCACTAGAGAGTATAGTTTACCTTCTATCAGCTTAGTAAACCCAGTGTGAAAAATTCCTTTTCCTAAATTATTCCAGAAAGAGTCCTGGGGTCTCCTTCTGGCTTAACAAAGCACATAATTATTGTCCAATCACAAAGAGCAAGGGTGTGAGGTACTATCATTGAGCCTCCTCATCCCCAGAGGTGGGAAAGATGGTTCCCCAAAGGAAAGTCAGAGGAAGAGGAAAGAATGCTGAGCAGCCAAGAACGACAGATATCTATGATGTTGGCCTGCAGCTCTTGACTTGGTTTTGGCAAAGGAAGAGTACAGCTTTATTTTTAAATACATATACACAAAATATATACATATAAAAATAATATAAATATATACATAACATATATGTGTGCATGCAAATGTGATATATATATTATATATGATATATATAATATATATGATATACACTATATATATATATATTTTTTATAGCAAATTCTATCAGCTACCTAAAAAGTGAGCTCCACAAAGGCAGAGAATATTTTTCATCTGTTTTGTTCGCTGTTGCATCACCATTACTTATAACAGTACCTGGCACATAGTGGGTTCCCCCAAAATAGCTGATGAATAAATGAGTATGGAAATCCATACATATGGAGAGGAAAGCCCAGGGGACTGTGTGTGAGTGGAGACTGAGTATATACCATAGGCTGCCCCACCAGACGGAGGGTATTACTGGTGCTCTCCTAACATCTGCCCATTACTAGTGATGGATTTAAAGTCTCCAGGCAGTGATAAAGACTGTGTACCCCAAATACATGGCTTTTTTGACTTATCTTGCTAATAATTTCACCTTCAGGGAGTAATAGAAGTTGTATCCCTTAGAATCGTCTCTCACCAACCAGTGAGAACCATTTAGGATTGAATGTGAAAGAGATAAAAACCTTTGGAAGAAAGTGGCCAGGCCAGTCATGGTGGCTCACACCTGTAATCCCAGCACTTTGGGAGGCTGAGTTGGGAGGATTGCTTGAGCCCAGGAGTTGGAGACAAGCCTGGACAACACCAGGAGACCCTATTTCTACAAAAAATTAGCCAGGTATGGTGGCATGCACCTGTGGTTCCAGCTACTTGAGGGGCTGAAGTGGGAGGATCACTTGAGCCCTGGCGACTGAGGGTGCAATGAGCCAAGGTTGCACCACTGCACTCCAGCTTGGGGGACAGAGCAAGACCCTTTCAGAAAGAAGAAAGAAGGAGAGAGAGAGGGAGAGAGAGAGAAGGAAGGAAGGAAGGAGGGAAGGAAGGAGGGAAGGAAGGAAGGAAGGAAGGAAAGAAGGAAGGAAGGAAGGAAGGAAGGAAGGAAGGAAGGAAGGAAGGAAGGAAGGAAGGAGCCACAGGATCCAAGCTTTAAAGGTATTGGTAAACATGTACCTCAGATGTGCATTTCTAAAAATGCAGACGTAGTGATTCAAAATTTCATATGGGCCAATAAACAAGATTTATTTCAGAAAATGTGAATAAGAAGAACAATGAATGGGGAATATATATACCAGATATTAAAATACAGCAGTCCCTCAGTGTCCATGGGGGATTGGTTCCAAGACTCCCATAGATATTAAAATCCACAGATGCTCAGGTCCTGATATAAAACGGTGCCATATTTACGTATAACCTATGCACATCCTCCTATATACTTTAAATCATCTCTAGCTTACTTATAATACTAATACAATGTAAATGTTACGTAATTAGTTGTTGTATTGTTTTTAAAATTTGTATATTTTTCATCATTGTATTGTTATTTTTATTGTGTTTTTTTCCTGAATGTTTTCAATGAGGTTGGTTGAATCTGCAGATGCAGAATCTGTGGATACAGAGGGCCCACCATACATACTCTTTTTGAGGGGCAAGGATGGTATACAGTGAAAACTGGAAACCCTGTTAGATAAATTCTAAAAGAGCTGTCACACTCAACTCTATATTCTACAATGGCAGTAACTAAACAGTATGGTACTGCC
Source organism: Homo sapiens (assembly GCF_000001405.40). Classification (NCBI taxonomy): domain Eukaryota; kingdom Metazoa; phylum Chordata; class Mammalia; order Primates; family Hominidae; genus Homo; species Homo sapiens. The sequence goes on along the minus strand of NC_000006.12, from coordinate 14,156,415 downwards.
TCAGAACAGACAGACACGTCTATGGAACAAAATAAAGAATCCAGAAATAAACTGAAACACATCTGGGAATGTAATACATTATATAGATGCCATCCCAATTGAGTAAAGAGAAAGTGGATTATTTGATCGGTGGTGTTGAATCAACACAGAAGAAGCCATCTTGAAAAGATAAAGTTGGATCCGTGCCTCACACCTTACACCTGGATAAATTCCAAATGTAAGAAATCAAAACCCCAAAATAGTAGAAGAAAGCATGAGAGGATATTTAATAAGTTGAGATGGGAACAACTTATCCAACATAAGATTCAGACATTATAAAAGAATAGGTTAATAAAATTCTATCATGAAAACATAAAATGAAAATTCTCTATGCAATAAACATTACAAGCAAAGTCAAAAAGACAAATGACAAATCAGGAAAATATCTACTTCCTCCATCACAGACAAAGACCTAATTTCCCCACCATGCATGTTTTCATGCAAATTAATTTTTTAAGATGGTTAATCCATTTAAAAATGAGTAAAGGATATAAACAGTTCATAGAAAAGTAAATATAATAAGGCTCTTTAAAATATGAAAAATGTTCACAGCACTCACAAAAAAATACAAGTTAAAACTACCCTGAAATACAATTATTTGCTGCTGAAATTGGCAAAGATCCAAAACCCCGATAACATACTCAGTTGGTGAGGCCTGGAGTAAAGGGAACTCATTTATCACTGGAGGGGAAATAAATTGGATGGACGCAAAGGTCAATATGGCAATATCTATTAAAATTACAAATGTGCCTACCCTTTGACCTGGCAATTCATTTCACAGTCTTTATCCTACAGTTGTACCCACACATATGCAAAATGATGTATGTACAAGATTATCTGTTGCAACAACGTAAGAGAGAAAGATTGGAAACTACCTAAATGTCCATTAAAAAGGGACCTGGACAAGGAAATATTATTAAGGTGTAAAAAAGAACAAAAGATCTCCAATATATGCTGCTAGCTGAAAAAAAAAAAAGATATGAAACAACGAGTGAAAAGGAGAGAAAAGAATATATATCTTTTTCAAGTGCATAAAAATCTCTGGATGGATACTCAAGAAACTGTGTCACTAAGAGCAAGCCATATTCAAGGGGAGAGAAATTAGACTCTGTCTTTGATGGGAAGAGGGTCAAAGAATTTGCAGACATATTTAAGACCAGTTTTTATACTCCTAAAATTCTGAACCCCATGAATATATCACCTATTCAATATTTAATCCATCAATTTTTTAAAAACAAGGGAATGAGTACCACTGGGTTTCCAAGTTGTGGCAGTTTACTTCTGTCAAAAGAAAAGAAAACATTCAACTGTCATCAGAATTTTTTGCAAGTTAGACTTGATTTCAGCATTCCAGGAGGTCCTAGGAGAGATTCCTCCTGGTTTCTTGTGGGGATTCAAACCCAACCAGAAAGAGAGGGATAGAGGCAGACAGGGAGGGAGGGAGAGAGAGAGAGAGAGAAAGAGAGAGAGAAAGAGAGAAATATGTTATATGTTATGCCGGTGGTAGTTAGCAATGTGGTAATTGTTATAACCCCCTTTATAATTCTGTGTGATTTCTAACATTTTTTCATTGAGCAGAAATTTTTGTAACCAAAAAAACTGTTATTTAAAAATTTATATATTCTTCAAAGTTCACTTATTAGTTAAAATTCACGTATTATTTCAGATTCACCTTGCCTTCCAACAAAGACACATCCCTGGAGAAATGTTGCTTCTGCTAATGGAGTGCTAAGCTGAAGGATGCTGGTAGAAAAATTCAAAAGAAAACTATACTTTTAAAAAGAAAATCTAGAGTGGACAAAGAGAAATACAAGAGAAGGGAAAGGCTGGACAGCATTGCTGACGAGGTTGCAGGGTAAAAGTCAACTGGAGTATAAAGGAGCCATGAAGAGACCATCAGACGAACGCTGGGCACCTTAGACAGTAAACACTAGATAAATTCCATAAATTAGGTATCTTCAAAGGGGGTTTTATGCTTGGCCATATGGTCTGTGATGTACAATTCTTCCTCATTTCTTTATGACAGCATCAGTAACTTTGTATATATGTATGTAGTTTTCCAAAACACCCCCACCTCCAAAGGAATTCAGCTGAACAGGAACCTGAAAACTTCCACCTGTAGAAGGATATCCCCAGCAGAGTCTTGGGACAGGAAATAGGATGGTCTGGGCCGGAAATGTGAGAAGGTCAGTTGGCTGGAGCCATAAAGCGTCAGGTAGGGAGAGACAGGAGATGGGGCCTGATGGACAATAAGCAGGAGGCAGGTCTTGGAGGTCCCTATGTCTTACAGGACTTGTGGACGTTATCTCATAGATTACTTGGAACTACCAAAGAGCCTTAAATGGGAGTGTCTTAGATTTGTAACTTAAACTGAGCATGTGGCTGCAGCTGGAAGACAGATTGGAGTGGTCAAGATTGGAGACAGGGAGACTAATTAGGGTTTTATTTTGCAACAAACCTCATCCAGGTGATGGATGAGGATGGTGGAATAAGGATCGTGGTAGTGGGGAGAAAGAAACACACAGGTATGAGAACTCTCCAAAGGATAGAATGGGCAAAACGGAGTGATTGATTGGACTGAGGTTAGGTGAGGGAAGGGTTTCTGTGATGTTTCTTAGGTTTCTTGGAATGGATACTGTTGACAAAACAAACAAACAAACACACAAAGCATATATAGAGAAGACCCGTTGTGTGAGCCTTTTTAAATTGTTGCTTATTTCTTTTGTTGTCTGTAAGGAAGCTATGAGTTCAGTTTCGAACATGTTGCATTTATATTATTTATGGGACAACCAAGTAGAGATGTTCAGCTGGTGGTTGGATACTTGAGTCCAAGGTTTGGGGAGCATTCTGGGCTAGGGGTATAGAAATCATTAGGATACAGGCAAATAAATGATACAGAGGGATGGGTTCACCCCAGAATATCAGCACAGTAAGAAGGGTCATGGGGCAAGCACAGAGCTTTGGAAAGTGATGTCTGGAGTTAGAGATAGGACTCTAGGGTTTAGGACTCCAATGACTGAGTAGATGTTGACCTGATTATTTCAGGCAGGCACCTTTAGCTGCAGTAACTGGGACTCGTTCAATTTATCTCAAGAGAAGGGAGGTTTTGTGGAAGGGTCTGGATCAGACCCGGAGACCTCAGCAAATGAGGCAGGTCTGGGGGTATCCATCTCTCTCCAACCCTATTTATTTCTGTATATCCTCTTCATTTTCACAGTATTGACTTTATTATCTCTTCTCTAGGGCCAATTTCTCCAAAATTTGGAAGGTCTATAAACATCTTAAAACTGTAAGCAAATTGTTCATTTATGCATTTCTCTGCAAGGGGAGTCTGTAGCTTTTGTAAGATTCTCAGGGTAATCTAAGATACAAAAGAAGCCCAAAACCTCCTCCTTATCTCTGTCTGTCTCTCTCCAGAAAGAAAGAAGCCTTGGCTTGCCTCAGCCCCACCTTAACCCCACAATATCCATTCACTTCCCGATCACTTGCAAATTACAAAATTCTTTTTATTTTCCTAGTTCAGATTTTAAAATTAGAGGATATGATTGATCCAGTTTTTTTACATTAGGCCAAAGTTAATAGGATTATTGCTGTGGAGTCAGGGTTAGCTAGCAAGGGGGTGTGATGACAGAATATAAACCCAGGCTGCCTGAGAAGGAGGTTAGGTAAAGAAGCTTCCCTTGGAAGGGATGCGGTGCAGACAGGATGGAAGGTAAAGGCTTGGCCTACGCAGCATGCCCGTTACCATTAAAGAGGAGTAGATTGTGTATCCCACATATTGTGTGAGATGATCAATAGCTGGCTGGTTGCAATTACCCAAAGAGATTGGATTACAGGATTGATATTAAACTGGAAGATATCTAATGGAATGCTACAGATTTTGTAGAAGATCCCAACCTTATCTTTTCAACATTTATGTTAATTAAAGTTTATCAAACATGAATATCAAATTTGAAGCTGGGGGTGACATAATATATTGGAAGACAGAGCTGAGTCTCAAAACGATCTTGGCAAGTTGGAACAAGAGATCAAAACAAACAAGATTAAATTTAGTGGGGCTGAATATAAAATATTGTATTTAGAATTATTAAATTCAAACACACAACTACCACATCAGGAAGAAGTGGCCAATTATATGTTCATATATAGCTTTAAATAATCTCTAACCAATTTGATCCCAAAGAATAAGGCAATTGCTGAAGAAAAAGAAGAAAAAAAAGAAAGAAGACAGAGAGAAGAAGCAGAAGCAGGAGGAAAAGGAGGAGGAATAGGAAGAAGGAAGAGGAAGAAGGAAGGAGGAGGAGGAAGAAGAAGAAGGAGGAGGAGGAAGAGGAGGAGGAGGAGGAAGAGGAGAAGGGGGAGGAGGAGGGGGAATGTCCTGTATTAATAAATGTTTAAATGCCCAGATCCAAGTGTGGTGCTCCATTATTCATTGCTCAGAGGGCATCTGCATTCAGTGTCTAGCTGCTGGGGCCCTATTTGGAAAGATCCAGTAAACACAATATACTCTGCTCCTTAAGACAGCCTGCCTGGGCTGGGCACGGTGGCTTATGCCTGTAATCCCAGCACTTTGGTAGGCCAAGGTGGGTAGATCTGAGGTCAGGAGTTTGAGACCAGCCTGACCAACAGGGAGAAACCCCGTCTCTACTAAAAATACAAAACTAGCCAGGCATGGTGGTGCATGCCTGTAATCCCAGCTACTTGGAAGGCTGAGGCAGGAGAATTGCTTGAACCCGGGAGGCGGAGGTTGTGGTGAGCCAAGATCATGCCATTGCACTCCAGCCTGGGCAACAAGAGCAAAACTCCTTTTCAAAAAAAAGGAAGGAGGGAAGGAAGGAAGGAAGGAAGGAAGGAAGGAAGGAAGGAAGGAAGGAAGGAAGGAAGGGAAAGAAAAAGATAGCCTGCCTGGCTTCGACTTGGATTTCCTCCTAAGTTATTTTCTCTTAAATTACTTGCTCATGCTCTATTTGTTCCAGTCCATAGGCACATGATGCCCTTCTCCTGTGCCTGCTGAAGTCCTAGCATCTCCCCTCCAGGGACTGCAGTGAGCTCACACAACCCTGGACTCAAACTCTTGTCATCATGATCTTGCAATGATGCCCACTCCACGCCTTGAAACAGACTCCCAGAAGTGCCAGTGAGCAAACGTGAGGATGGGTTGTTTAGTCTTCATGGTGGCAACAACAGAAGAAACTGAGGTACAGAGTCATATCTCAAAGTAAGTGACCAGCACAGTTAGGATTCAGACTCCACATATTTGACCCCAAAGGCATGGCCACCCCTCATCCACTTTTTTCAGCTCCCCTTTGAGCTATGGCAACACAAAATCCAAGAAATCGATTTTTGAATAGTCTGTTTTGACTCTTTGGAATCCTCCCTTCTCCTTTCTTATCCTTCAGGCTGTCAGTCCCCATCTGCTCTGCCCCCAAGACCCCAGCATCTCCCCCTACTTCCCCCCTTCCCTCAT